>NC_000010.11:8797878-8949393 GCF_000001405.40 Homo sapiens
CCAAGCCCAAGACCCAGCTAATATATTCTGTGACAGGGGGGCCTCCTGGGCACACAGTAGGGCTGAAAGGGATGGAGAACGGCTATGGGACAACAAAGCGAGAATGAAAGGCATGGCGTCTTTATACTTGCGAGGAACTTGCATGTCTAAAGGGGGCAGCGAAGATGTCACCAGACCGTTACAATATATGACAGTTACAGTGCAGGCAAGATAAAGGGTGACACAGAAGGATGTGAAAGCACAGAGAGGAAGATTTATCCCAAAGCTGGAATGTAAAAAGGTTTTAGTGAAGTATGGCATACTGTTTGAATTTTGAGTGATATTCACATAGACAAAGAAAGGTAGGTAGTAAGGTATTCTGGGCAGGGACTTCAGGGCCCAGCCTACGTAATCACAGTTACATATCCTGTATGATGGGCATATATTCTCAGAAATGCATCATCAGGCAATTTCGTTGTTGGAGACTATCACCGAGTGAACTTACATACCTACCTAGATGGTAGAGTCTACTACACACCTAGGCTAGACGGTGTAGCCTATTGCTCAGGCTACAAACCTGTTCAGGATGTGACTGCACTGAATACAGCAGGCGATTGTAACACAATGATAAGTACTTACGTTTCTAGGCATAGAATACACTAAAAATATGGAATTATAATCTTATGGGACCACGATCATATATGCCATCAGTTGTTGGCTGAAATATTGCTATGTGGCACATGATTGCATTCAAAAGCATAAGATGACTGAAAGAAATATAAAATGGAGTTAATGGTATCTATTTTAATTATAATTTAATGCTTGTTTCACTCACTGTGTTTTACTACCAGGATTTCCCAGGCGTGTTGGGAAGAACCCAATCGTTCTTAAGCTATTAATGTGTTTCTCAAGAAATAGGCTTTTATGATTAGAAATAATAATGTTAGAATTATTAGGAAGAGGCTAGGTTAAAGGTGTCTTTACAGAATGGTTTCTGAGTCTTTGTTACGTTGTTATGCTCTCTAATATCTGAACAAGCTGCAGAGAATTCAGCCTCCCAAACTTAGTTGAACACAGAAATATTTTACCAAGAAGCATCTCTTGGGTCTGGCATTCTGAGGAACATGCTTATCAAGATGTGGAAAATATATTTCCCCAACTAAGACAAACATCTTTCCAATTATAAATAACATAAATGAATAAAAATCCCCTAATACTTAAGTGAATGTGAATAAAAAGGGCTAGTCTGTCATTCCACATCTATTTATGTGACATAATGGTCACCCATTTTTATTTCTGTACATGTTGACATTTTCAATTTTATTTTTTAAAGGCTGTGGGGGTCTAACCCTCTGGGGTTGGAAGATAGACCTGAAATATGCGGTGTAATCTAACTGTAGAAATAGGAATTAGGATGTAGAGATGTTCTCCTTTCTCATCGTTCTCATTTGCAGTTTCCACCTAAAAAGTGATAATTAAAGTTGAAAGAATTACTTTCCTTCTCCAATTGCTATGCATATATTTTCAAGTTTTGGATTAATCATGGGGGTCTACCATTATTTCCTATGTTTCAAAGTTATACAGATTTACTGTGGGTTGACTCCAGCTCCAACAGCTTGTGAAAAATCCAAGGATCTGATTGCAATGAGCAGAAATGTCAATGTTAGAAGATCAAGACTCCTTGATGTTTTTAATAAACTTTCAAAATGTATCTTACTCTATTTGTACTGTGTAGATTTTCCACTTGATAAAGCACAATATTTAAAGGAGAACACTTGAGCTATTTAATGCGTTTTCCTATTACATTTGGTACACTAAGCTTTTTCCCGCCCCTGCTTTACTTGGTATTAGGGAACAACAAAGGGATTGGAAAGGTGAGTGTATTTCTTCTGTAAGATTCAGTGCTCAGAGCCTGACAGACCAAGATGTATTAAATTTTACATGAAGCTTTGTGTCTGCCCCCATGATGACTGAAGTGTTTTGGATTTATACAAATAGATGGATTTAGTCTGTTGACAAAATCATAAAGAAAAAGGAATGCATAAAGGTGCAGTCATATCTATTACCATACAGAATTATAATGTATTGTTTTTTAAATAACATCACAAGGTAAGAATGCCTTCAACTCAAAGAGCTTGGGAAAAGTGGCTTCTGGTCCCAGACTTGGCCCTATCAGCAACTTGCTACACAAATTTTGGCTAGGCCATTTGACACAAATTTTGGCTAGGCCATTTGACACAAATTTTGGCTAGGCCATTTGAATTCACGGTCTTTTATACCAAAAACCAACCAACCAATCAATGCAGTATAACGCAATACAAATGGAGGAAGACTAATTTTCCTTACGTAGTTTCAGGAGGCAAATTGCTTACTGATTCTTTAAAAATGTCAAGTTCTCCTCCAGAGATGTGCATCTTCATTCATTTTTATGTAAAACAGATCACATCAAAAGAGACAATTACTGCTTGAAGCTAGATGTTGCTTTCTTGATCACCCCTAAATTGAAATCCTTGTGTGAGTGGATAATAGACACTGGAGGGAAGATGAAAGAATCAGACTTCTATCAGGGGTGCTGATTCACTGAATTTGCAGCTTCAAAACCATCCCCAGGGATCAAAAAGCCTAGCCAGCAAAACTGAGGAAACAATGACTCTGCATTTCAGTGACCCGCATATGATACAGCTTAATTTTGTCAGCTGTGATTGGTGTGAATTGCTCTGATGAAGTCCATGGTTATAACATCACGGGAAGTGAGATCTGCAAAAGATCACCAGAATGGGAAATTCCTTGAGGGCACTGGCTCTTCATCACTGCTCAAATTTTGTCAACAAAGTAAAGTGACCTTTAATGAAGGAAGCGTGGGATGGCATTCTGGTTTCTGTGCTGTGTTTTTTTGTTTCTTGTTTGAGAGCATGACAGCCGCATATGTAAAAGTTGGGTCAGGGAATTTTCCCCCAAATGATTTTGATCTGTTTCTCAGTGATGATCTGTATAATTATTCCGTGTCAAATGTCCATTCAGAAATCATGCTATGAACTGACACATCTAAATCAGAACTCTACTTTGATCTACATGAAATGTGTGGAACTCCGGAGAAAATCAATCTCTTCGGGAAGTTTCAAACTAGTAACAGAAAAGATAGAAACTTTATGTTTTTCTGATAATTCACTGTGTTTTTGTGCCGGCATTATATGTGAGCTGATAACTTGGGAAAATATTCGTTCTTCTAGTTGATATGTTTTGCTCATTTTGGGACCTTTTGAAGTTTTGGTTTTTTAAAAACTTATTGAAATACGACCTACATACAGAAATACGGATAAATTGTAAGGGCACAGCACAGTGAATTTTTATAAAGTAAACATGCTCATGTGGCTGGCACCCAAGTGAAGAAATAAAAAATAGTATCACAAAAATTTCAGAAGAATCCTACTGATCCTTCTCAGTTACTATTATTAATTATAAGACTAATAATCAATATGCCCATCAAAAGGTGATATTATTTAACTTCTGGTACCCTGTATTAATGCTTGAACTTTATACAAATGACTTATGTGGGTTTTTTTGTGTGTGTCTGGCTTCATTTCCATAATGTTATATGGTTAATCTACATTGTTGTGTTCATTTTCACTGAGCCTAGGATTTCACGGCACAGACATACCACAATTTATTCATTCTATTGATGATGGACATTGAGTGGCTTCTAATATTTGGCTATTACTAATAATACCGTGAAAAACATTCTTCTATGTGTCTTTTGATGAACATATACACATTTTGTTCAAGTTCATGCTTAGAATTGGTATTGCAGGCATGCAGGTTAAGAGAACGCTCTACTTCAGTAGATACTGACACTTGGTAAGGCAATGGTCCTGGGATTCTTGAGGGATGAAAGGTATATCTCACATTCACTCAAATGCAAGAGCTAAACACAGGTAGAAAGTGAAGATGGCATTTTGCTTCACAGCAGGTTCATAAAGTTGTGCTTTTAACTTGTGTTAGGCTGAGTATAGAGTTGTGTCCACCATCGTTATCCTGGAGTTTCTCACACTATTATAAGAACTAGTTGCCTTTCTGAGGTCTCCAAGTGTTCAGCTGTACAGTGCCTAACTGAAATCTCCACTGCTGTTACTTGTATGTTTTTAACAGGTAAAAGTTAATAACTTTGACAAATATCAAGGAGTCTCTAACTGGAAAAGCTTATTAGCTTTGGGGGCAGAATAGCAGGATGGGGTGGCCATCAGAAGGCCCCGTTATGTCACATTCTTCCAAAATAATCATGTTATGGTTGTAGGCAAATCAGCTCCACAGACAACCTCTCCTTTCATGTATGAGAATTCACTGTGGATTGGTCTTGCAGTGAATTGATCAGAAAAAGAAAAAGGATTTCAATTTACATGAGAAAAATGAAGAGCTAAGGGTAAAATTCTGTCATCAAATGTATAAATACGTGGTGAAGGCTAGGTCTTGATCAGAAAAGGATACAAAGCAAAAGGATTTCTATATACTGGCTCTTTCCAAATGGAGATTAAATGCTGCAGGAAGACAGTTTTTTTGATACATCTAAAATTGGTTCAATCTAAAACCTATCTATTTAGACGCAAATTAAATGGCTAGGTTAGGTAAAGTTCCATAATCCCTGGAAGAACGTCAAAACATATCAATGAATGAAACCACGTTTTCTGTATGGAAAACAGAGCATATACAGGGTTCCTTTACAAATCTGGTGTCTGTAAGGTATATCCTGCATCATTTACTTTATACTATTTATGAGCTGTGAAGCTCTGATGCACAACTTCAGGAAATGAATAATTTATCAATCTTTGAAAGATATTCTGGAGAATTTCTGAAGGCAGATGGTAGAATTTGCAGTGTACTAGACATAATTTTTCAACAATAGTAGCGTCAAATTAAATGATCATTCAGAAAAATACAGACATGAGATTTTAAAATTTACGTTGTGATGGAAAGATTTTCTTCTTTATTTGGGAAAATAGATTTTTATTGGCTATAAATATATCTATTGCTCTTAGAGAGATTTCCTTAGCAGATGGGCATACAGTTATATTTTTAACTTCCCTTTTAATAATATTGAATGTAACTGACTTAAAATTATTCTATTTATATTCACACCTAATTCTTCCAGGGGTATATATTGCAACTTGACTTATATTGATTTCTAAATTTATTGCCTTGTTCAAATTGGCTGAAAAAAATGATTATTTTTCATAGAAGAAGATGATACTGAAAGGGGGCAGGTTTATAATTTGATATGGTAGCAGTAATAAATGAATGAATGAATGAATGTTCATACAAATTTGACCAAATGAGAGAAAATGCTTCTTATAAGAGAAAATTTATGTAATTATTTTTCATCAGAGGCAGAAAAGATTTACACACAGTGGTAAAACGAGAAACATATGGAAATGGTATCTAGATATATTAAAATATGAACCTATTTAAAATTAGGTGTTTTCTATTTACTGTTAATTGCTAGTAGGTGTTAGCCCAAGTACAGTCCTTGACCACAACACATATATAATTGTCTGTTGGTAGTTCGGGATATTGGTTCCAGGATCTGCCTCAGAAAACAAAGTTCATGGATGCTCAAGTCCCTTGCATAAAATATCACAGTAATTGCATAAAACCTACACATATCCTCTCGTATACTTTGTCTCTAAACTGCTTATAATACCTAATACAATGCAAATGCTATGTAAATGGTTGTTATAGAGTATTATTTTTTGTTTGTGTTATTTTTATTCTATCTTTTAAAGAATACTTTTCATCTGGGGTTGAATGAATCTGTAGATCCAGAACTCATGGATATGGAAGGCTGACTGTATTTTCTTCAGGTATTAGGTTGGTGCTAAAGTGACTGAGGTTTTTGCCCTTACTTTTAATTGCAAAAACTGCCGTTACTTTTGCACCAACCTTAATAAATAAGATACCAAGTTCATTACAAACAGGTCAGACCACCTGAAAATTGTCAATGAATGTTGAACAGGGCAGCCATTCTAGATAGAGTACTCAGGGAAGTCTTCTTTTAGGAGGTGGCTTTAAGCACAGACCTACATGAATGGGGGAAATGAGTCCTGTGAAAACCTGAGGGAAGACAATTCCATGCAAGCCTGGAAGGTGGCATGTGGCTGGGCCTTTTCAAATCAACAACTAGAAGGCTAGGATGGAGAGTGACAGCGGATAATGTAAGTGGGAAAGACCTGGGCTATGGCCCTATCATTGCAGGGCCATGGGAACCATGGAAAGGAATTTGAAGTTTATTCCATGTGTGATGGTGATGCATTAGAGAGCTTTGGTTAGAAAACGTGGTGTGATCTGATTAGCATTTTAAAAGGTGCCTCTCCAGGGCTCTGTGGAGAAGTAAACACAGGACACGAAACAGGGAGACCAGGGAGAGGTTCCTGTTGAAGTGAGAGACAGGGATGGGATGGTTTAGACTAAGGAGGTGAATCTTTTTATTTTATTTTATTTTACTTTATTTTATTTTATTTTTGAGATGGAGTCTTGCTCTGTTGCTCAGGCTGGAGTGCAGTGGCATGATCTTGGCTCACTGCAACCTCCACCTCCCAGGTTCAAGCCATTCTCCTGCCTCAGCCTCCCAGGTAGCTGGTACTACAGGCATGTGCCACCATACCTGGCTAATTTTTTTTGTATTTTTAGTAGAGATAGGGTTTCACCATGCTAGACAGGCTGATCTCGAACTCCTGATCTCAAGTGATCTGCCTGCCTCAGACTCCCCAAAGCGCTGGAATTACAGACGTGAACCACCGTGCATGGCCAGGAGGTGAATCTTGAAGAAGACACGTAGTGGCCAAATTCTGGATTTACGTTTGACTCAGTCTTTTTTTTTTTTTTTTTTTTGAAATGGAGTTTCGCTTTTGTCACCCAGGCTGTAGTGCAATGGCACAATCTCGGCTCACTGCAACCTCCACCTCCTGGGTTCAAGGGATTCTCCTGCCTCAGCCTCCTGAGTAGCTGGGATTACAGGTGCGTGCCACCACGCCTGACCAATTTTTTTTATTTTTAGTAGAAACAGGGTTTCACCAGGTTAGCCAGGCTGGTTTTGAACTCCTGACCTCAGGTGATCTACCCGCCTCAGCCTCCCAACGTGCTGGGATTACAGGTGTGAGCTAGCGTGCCTGGCCTAGTTAGAGTTTTAATAGTGAACAGATAGTACACTCAAATCAGGATAATTCAGGAAGAATCTATTCAGAAAGGGTGTGGATAGAGGAGAGCTGCAATACCCCTTGTGGTTTAACTTCACCTTGCTCACACCTTTGTATGTCAGTGTGTTAATTAAATTATCCCCAAATTACCCCATTGGAGTTTACCTTTAGTTTCCTCCCAGGCCATGATGGATGTTACTGAATCCCCAGCAAAAGCTTGACCCATTACAGGATATCAGTAACTATTTGATGAATGAATGAATCCATCTGTAAAATGGTTTGCGATGAGAAGACATCGGTAATTTCCCACTAGTATTTGTACTCCAAGTGTTTTATGTGTTTATTGTCAAAATTACTTCTAGTGTTCTCATTTGTCTACTCACCAAAATTTATTCAGCACAAGACACAAGGTGAGTCAGTGGAAAAGATAAGAGAAATACATGATCCCTGCCCTCAAGTAGCTTATATTGCTTCAGGGCCCTGTTGTGAGCCCTGATCATTGTGTCGCTATGATAGCATTATGTGCAGAAGCCTACTGAGTGTAGAAAAAGGTGATTGCATGCAGCCAGGGGATGCCATGGGGTATGATCAGGGAAGAACTCAAAGAAGAGGTGGCACTAATTGTGGATCTTGAAAAGTAAGTAGGGGTTATCTTGGCCAAAAGAATTCATGGCCAGAATGATATGAAATATGTGGGGAGCCAGGGAGGGAACTTTTTGTAAAGAAAATAGCATGTCCTAAAGGAGATGAGACCACAGGAGCTCTTCTGCAGGGTATAATAATTTGTGTTCTGGCTGCAGCGTTTGGCTGGACTTGTCACAAGTGTGTGAACCAGAGGAACTCCATCTTGAGTAGGGGCAGGGTAAAATGAGGCCGGACCTACTGGTCTGCATTCCCAGATGGTTAAGGCATTCTAAGTCACAGGATGAGATAGGAGGTCAGCACAAGATACAGGTCATAAAGACCTTGCTGATAAAATAGGTTGCAGTAAAGAAGCCGGCCAAAACCCAGCAAAACCAAGATAGCCACAACAGTAGCCTCCGGTCGTCCTCACTGCTACACTCCCACCAGCACCATGACAGTTTACAAATGCCATGGCAATGTCAGGAAGTTACCCTATATGGTCTAAAAAGGGGGATGCATGAATAATACACCACTTGTTTAGCATATCATCAAGAAATAACCATAAAAATGGGCAACTAGCAGCCCTCCAGGCTGCTCTGTCTATGGAGTAGCCATTCTTTTAATCCTTTACTTTCCTAATAAACTTGCTTTCACTTTACTCAGTGGACTCGCCCTGAACCCTTTCTTGTGAGATCCAAGAACCCTCTCTAGGGGTCTGGATCCAGACCTCTTTCCTGTAACAGAGTGACAAAGGATGAGGTGACAAATGTAGTCAGGGGCCTGATTATTAAAGGTCTTCTTTAAACATCTGCATGTTATCTGTATAATAGACTGCCAGGACAAAATAGGATTCGAGGAAGTAACAATCCAGATGAGAAATGAAGTCCTAAACTACAGGCCTTTTATAATGAGAATGAAGCACCCTCCCCTAGGAAAAAAAAAAAAGACAAGGAAGGAAGGAAGGAAGGAAGGAAGGAAGGAAGGAAGGAAGGAAAAACGAATTCAAGAAGGTGATCAACAGGATTCTTCACTGAATAGTTGAAGGAAATAGGGATTGTGTCTGAAACGTGGCTAAAATAAAAACATTGAGCACTCACGGACGTAAACATGAGAACAGTAGACACTGTGAGCTACTAGAGTGGGGAAGGAAAGAGCAGCGTATGGGTAGAAAAACTATTGGGTATTGTGCTTGCTACCGGGATGCACTGTAACTACGTAACAAACCTGCATATGAACCCCCTGTATCTAAAATAAAAGTGAAAATATATATATGTATATATTATATATAAATTTGGGCAAGATAACTATAGAAGTGGGAAGACGTAAAAAAATAAAATGTCTCTGCATTCAAAAAATAATAATAATTCAATAGATCACGGCAAGCCCTGACTGGTTTCCCAGACCTTAACACTTTAAGTAAATACCTCACCTATGAAATAGACATCATACTCGTTAGTTAATATGATTTTCCAATTGGTGGATTATAGGCAGGTGTAGCATGTTAAGAATTTGTCAAGATGATTATAGGCAGGTATAGCTTGTTAAGAATTTGTCAAGAATGGCTGGTGCTATCTGATTGCTCTTACATCACACCAAGCACCATCAACTTCTCCAAAGATTAGCCCTAGGGAAGGCCGTGGTTATGTTAAAATAATGAAGATGACATACAATTAAATTTATTTTATTTCTGAGAAAGCCCAGGCTTTATTTTCACTTGGTAGTTTTAAAAAACAAATTTGCATAGAGCCAGTGAAATGAATGATTTATTTTCCATCATCACTGAGCAGCCTTCAGGTGGATGGGATGGGATGTGTAGCACACGTTTGACATGTAGGTTCTCATAATGAGAGCTCAGTGCCTACTGATCACTCATTTGTTGGATTATACATTCCCTCAGGTGTTCTTATGTGAGATCTGTATTGCTGTATTTCTGTCACCAGTTTATTCTTAGATTGTGAAGCAGCATCATTGTCTGGGGTAAATACCCGGGGTTCATCCTCTTGCGCCAAGCAGATTAAGGAGATGGGCACACATGAGGAGCTTAGGACCAGAGAGTATTTTTTTTTTCTGTTTTAACAAATTTATGTTGCAAAAATACCCTTACAACAATGCACACACACCAGCATTATTTGTAGAAGAGAAAACTGAAATCTGGCCCCCACCCCCTACCGCTGACTATTGCGTGATCCCTCTTCCTAGAGATGAGGGACTGAGCAGGTTCAGCCCCCAACACTGCAGGGCTGAAATGTGAACCTGGGTGGGGGCCTCAGGACCCACCTCTGGGCATGTAAACCCTGGACAGAGATTCAGAAGACTGAGCAAGAGGAGGTAGGGAGCAGAGGTTTAATAGGCAAAAGAAGGAGAAAGGAGAAGAGCTCTCTTCCTAGTGAGGGAGAGGGGCTTCCAAAAGGAAAATCCCACTTGCGGTGACTGTAGCCGATTTTATAGGCAGGCTTGAGGAGGCGGTGTCTGATTTACGTAGGGCCCAGAGATTGGTTTGACCAGGTGTGACATTTACATATCACTCACGGGAAGGCTTGTCACCCTATCCTAGTCTTATTATGCAAACAGACTTTCTACTTCACCAGCACCATGTTGTCTGCTCCTTACTACTGTACACGTGGTTTGGCAAAGAGAAGGGAAAATGCAGCTGCCATTTTGATCATCCCTAGTCATAGGTAGCCTTTTTCTATAGACACAACTGCTGGCATTCACCCATGCAAGCTTCCAGCTTGCTTGTCTATGTCTGCAGCTCGATTTTACAGGCTGCTCTTTGTTAGAAAATTATTTTGGGGCTGCTTTTCATTAAAAGGAAAACCTTACCGAGGACGTCCTTACTTTCACTGTCTGCCTAAATAATTTCCTTTTAACTCCTATATGAGTTGAAGTGTGCAAAACATCAGTTTTTCATTTTCCGGAGTGCTGGTGGGAAATCTTGGCAGCATTTATAGTATTTCCTCTTAATCCCCTTAAAGTTCCAAGGCTGTAAAATACCTTTCCAATTCACCGAATTTGATTGATCAATTCTACCATTCTAGGTATGTTTCTCAAATTATTTTCCCAGGTGTCATTCTGCTCCTCCAGAAGTTGAATAACTGTGTTACGACACAGGAACACAGGGGCTCTGCTGTCGTTGGTGTTACTCTTGGTTAGAGATAGACAGCTAGATAATCCTCAGCTAATTCAGCATTTTGTGCTTTGGTTACTATACGCATGTGAAGTCGAGATAAAAATATGAGGCTTAATTTAAGGATGTTTGTGAGTAATAATTACCCACTTCCTTGTGACATTTTTAAAGAATTATTGCTTTTTCAAGATATGGGTTGTTTACACTCATTTTGAAATGTTACTGCATGTACTTTATATGTAGTCAATTGTAAAGAAATTATGCATAACTATGTGCATGTATTTACAACTTGTGAATGTATATTAATATTTTAATCCTTCAGAACTGATTAGATCCAGCAGTTAGCTAGAGTGTCACAGTCTTTTCTGAAGAAAAAGACAATTATAACCACTATCCTTGCTTAAGTTTTAATGTTCAGCATTGAGTCATTGTACATCTGGCTACCAGTCAGGATAAAGCAGGTGTGATTTTTCAGAGTTCTTACTGGAGTCTTCCACTTTTCCGTTCTGCTCTGCTACCTTCTTACATATACCTCCCTCAAATTTTGGCTGAAATTCTGTGATTTTCTAAGAAGAAAGAAAACATAAGTATAGTTGAGGCAGAAAATGCAAACATTCCTAAAGATTAATGTGCTGAATAAATGCATACCAGGTATACACATCCTATCAGAGGTTTGCAAGAGAGGACTTTCTAATCATTTTGATTTATACTCAAAGGTGGAATGGAAGGAGAAGAGTTTAGAACTGAGTACACAAAATGGTGGCCTGCTAGGCTGCAGATGAACTTTTCTTCGTCCTATATTTTATTTTTAAAGTACAAATTATTTGTGAAAGTCCTGTTCTTTTCCAGTGATATTTCAAAATTCATTTGCATTACTCGTTTGGCCTGTGTAGGTTCTTAGTATATAGTTTTGGAGTTTATGAGTACTGAGTGCCTAAAACTTCCGCTTTGGGCCGTGAGAAAATAAAAGAACCTGAACTTACCATTAGACATTACACAACTAGAAAACCAGACAGAATATGTGAAACCGTGTGTTTCAGATATTGGAAAACACAGAGCACAGAACACCAATCCTCAGCAGAAAAATAATTAAGATGAGTCCTGCAAGTGCTTCAGCTCACAGAAGGAAAATATTTTCCGGCATGCAGATCAAGGAAGGGAAACCCAGACAGTATCTGATGGTCTTGCTGAGTTGAGGAGGCAGAATTCAGAGTTCTGAGGAGAAGCTGCAGGGCTAAGTACCAGAAAGAAGTTTCGTACACAAACAGAGAGTGAGCTTGAAATCTTTAAAGAGCTTCCTTGAGACTTTGGCAACATACTCAACTATGTGTGTGTAAGGAGACTGAGGGCAGGAAAAAAATGCTGGAGAAATAGATGAGGTGAGACAATCACTGGAGCACACATGGGGCTGTTAATATTTTGTGCTCCTGCCAGACAGAGGGAGAACATCTCTTAATACGTGGGGGATTGTGCAGTGTCCTCAGAAGGCCTTGGCAGTGGTGCCAAATTAGCCCCAAACTATAGGATGTACTGGACCTGTCTTAGAAAAGCTTAAAATTAATTCTGGAAAGAATCAAACTAATTCTAAGTAATGCAACTTAATCACAGCAAGAAGCCCAAAAAATAATTTTAAAAAATCTAGCATCCAACAATGTAAAATTTATAATTTCTAGTATCCAATCAAAAATTATCAGTCATGCAAAGACACAGGAAAATATAACCCATAACCAAGAGACAAAAAATTATTCAGTAGAAATGGAGCCAAAAATAAAAGAGATGACAATTAGTAGGCAAGGATGTTAATGCAATTATAAGTGTATTCCTATGTTCAGGAAGTTTGAGGAAAGAAAAAATATAAGAAAAACAGAAGATATGAAAAAGATGCATATTTAACACCTAAAGATTAAAAATAAAATATCTGACATAAGAATAAAACCAGATTGGATTAATAGCAGCATAGAAACTGCAGAAGGAATTAATCAACTTGAAGACATAATAATATGCACTGACCACAGTGAACTACAGAAAGAAAAGGAGACTAAAAAAAATGAACAGAAGGTCAGTGAGTGTTGAGGCAGCATCAAGCAGTCCAAACACATGTATAATTGGAGTCTGAAAAGGATAGGAAAGAGATAAAGGGATAGAAAAACATATTTAAAGAAATAATAATGAAATTTTTCAAGTTTGTTGAAAATTATACATCCATACATACAAGAAGCTCCAAGAAAAAAAAAATGAAGAAAACTGCTCTAGAACACATGATAATCAAATTTCTAATAACCAGTGATAATATAATATTTTATATTTGAAGGAGAAAGAATACTTCAGTGTCACTGTTCTATTGCTATGTAACTAATTACCATTAACTTAATAGCTTGAAGCAATTCCCACTTATTAACTCATAGTTCTGTATGTCAGAAGTCCAGTTGACTCAAATAGGATCCCTGCTACGGTCTCACAAGGATAAAATCAAGATGTTAGCCTGGGCTCTTGCCTGGAGGCTCCAGGGAAGAGTCCTCTTGCAGGCCCCTTCTGGTTGTTGGTAGGTAGGATTCAGTTCCTTGTGGTTGTAGAACTAATAGCCCTATTTCCTTGCTGGCTAGTACATGGGGCCTGCTCTCTGCTCCTTGTAGCTCTCTGCATTCCTTTTCATACTTAAAATATTTCTGACTTCCTCTTTCATCATCAGCTTGACAAAACTCTGCTTTTAAAGGGCTCCCATGATCAGATTAGACTCACTCAGATAATTTTTCTTTTGATGAACTCAGTCAACTGGTTAGTAAACTTAAGTACATCTGCAAAATCCCTTTTGCCATGTAATGTAACATAATCATGAAATATCCCATCATATGCATATAGAAGCAATATGGTATCTCATTATATTAATGTGCACAGTCCTATAGGCTGGGGCTGGAAAGCTTGGGGAACTACCTTAGAAGTAAGCATATTACAACTTCTCAACACATTTTATAAAGCCAGCATTACCTTGGTACTGAAACCAGATGAAGAAGTTGGTAGATCTATGTCTTCATCACGTAGATAAATAAAATACTAACATATTATTGGTCAAATATAGCAGTCTATAAAAACAATAATAAATCATGGCAAAGCAAGTGTTATCTCAGAAAATTAAGATTTGTTCAATATTTGAAAATTATATAATATCATTTACTATATTAAAAACAAAAAAATGTAATTATCTCATTATATCCAAAAAAGCATTTGGCAAAATTCAACATCCGTTCATCATTAATATTGCTCAAAACTATCAGTAAACTAAGAATAAAAAGAAACCATTTTCTGAGATAATAATGGGTTTTGGAGGAAAAACCAGCAGCTAACAAAGTTATTCTTAAAAGACTGTGTACTTTCCCCTTAAGAACAGAATAAAGCAAGGATGTCTGTGCTTATCAATTCCTTCAATCTTGGACTGGAAGTTCTAGCTTGTGTAATAAAACAAGATAAAGAAACAAAAGTCGTATTCAGTAAAAAGAAAGAAGTTAAACTCTTTATTTGCAGATGGCCTGAACATCCATATAGGTAATTCTAAGGAATTGACAAAATCTGTACTGAAAATAATGACTGAATTTAGCAAGGAAATAGGATATGGAATCAGTATTCAACAAAGCAATTGCATTTATATATATTGGCAAAAAGCAATAAGAAATTGAAATTTAAAATTCAGTATAATAGCTGGTATAAAATTGCAGGGATAAACTGAACAAAGTATAGGCAAGCCCGGTACATGGACTACTAGGAAACATTGCCAGAAAAATCTGTAAATGAACAGAGAGAAATGCCATGCTCATGGATTGTAAGCAATCATGGATATTGGTTGTTCAGATGTTAGTTCTGCCGAGATTAATCTATAGATTCAGTGCTATCAAAATTAGTATCCCAGTAGATTTTTGCTAGAGAAAGAAAGGTATAGAATAAAATTGATACAAAACTGCTTTTCTGTAGAAAAATATTTGTAGAATTATATTATACGGAAATGCAAAGAACCAATAAAAGTCAAAACAGCTTTGAAAATAGAGCAAAGTTGAAGATTATTAACTACCTGATTTTGAGATTTTTTAAAGCTGAAGTAGTCAAATAGTGTAGTAATGACATAGGGATAGACAAATAGCCCAATGGAAGGGAATATAAACTCCAAAAATAGTCAGTCGTGTATGTCTAATTGACTTTCTTTTAAGCTGGAGAAATAATTTTTTTAAAATAAATTGTTCTGGAGCAATTAACCATCCACTTACAACTCAACAGGAAGACAAAAAACCTAATTAAAATGGGCAAAATATTTGAAGAGAAATTTCACCGATGAATGTATACAAATGGCAAACAAATACATAAAAAATGCTCAGCTTCACTAGTTATTAATGAAGTGCAATTTAAAACCACATGTGATATCCCACTATACACACACTAGAATGGCTGAAAGTTGAAGGACTGGCAATAGCAAGTCTTTGCAAGGATGGAGAGCCACTAATTAGAACACTTATACATTGTTGAAAGAATGCAAAGTGATACAGCCACGTTGGAAATGTTTACCAGTTTCCTACACAATTAAACCAGTATCACATGCCACAACAATTTCATTTTAGGTATTTTATCCAAAATAAATGAAAATCTGTTTCTATACAAAGACATGTGTACAACTGCTCATAACGGCTTTACTCAAAATATCTGACACTGGAAAGCACTGCATGTCTATCATTTAGTGAATAAATAAACAAGTTTTGATATGTTTACATAGTGAAAACCTAGTGAGAAATACAAAGCTATTACTAATACATATAACAATGTAGATGAATTTCCAAAGTGTAGGTTAACTGAAAGAGGCTAGGCACAAAATTGCAATTAGTGTTTGCAAGGGCCAAGGGTTGTGGGAGAGAGATAACACCAAAGTGGGTAAGGGATTCTTGCAGGATGATAAACATTTTCTATATCAGTGTTGTGTGGAAGTTCATAGTCATATGTGCTTACTCAGTCTCACCAAATTGTACAATTGTTGAATTTTATAGTAAATAAAATATACCTTGCTTATGCTAACAAAAAAATAAAGCACAAGTTGAGATGGTTAGGTGACCAAAGATGTGCAGAATGACGGAAGGGTGGAGTCAAAAAAGCACAGTAAAGTAGGACAGAGAGGAAGAGGCCACTGTCTTAAACCAGGCACATTGCATAAGCTAAAATAGGCGTCAGGGAGCGGCATAGGGAGGGTGGCATGAGTATGGTCTTCCAGATGACAGATAACTGCAGATAGTGCCAGAAAATGATAACTGTAGAAATGGTAGAACCAAAGTGATAGTTTGTATCAGGGTATCCTGTGCCCCGAGAGGATAAAGTCTATGAAGACAGTCCCATCCCTTTGCCTATTACAGTGCCTGGTGCATAGAAGGCATATAATATGTATTTTTGGAAAGAAACAATGAGTAATCCAGGTGGATTGACAGCAAGATGTCAACACAAATGGAGAATCCATGCCAGGAAGTGATTGATAGGTCCAGGAAGGCAGGCAGCTCAGTCTCATCTGAAAGTCCGCCACTAGGTCAGGACAGGTGCTTCCTTGGGGGCAATCATAAGGGGAGAGGTAGGAAAGGAGCCGAAGCAATATTTAGTTGGGCACTGTGCTAGGTAATTTCTTATTCATTTCCTTATTAGATCTTCACATCAACTGCGTGATAGAAACATTCTTTTACCTCCATCTTATAGTTGAGGAAACTAAGAGTTTATTTTTGTTTTTAATATATTTTGTTTTTGTTTTTCAATTGACAAATAAAAATTGTGTATATTTATTGTATACAATGTGATATTTTGAAATGTTATACAGTGTGGGCCAGGCATGGTGGCTCATGTCTGTAATCCCAGCACTTTGGGAGGCCGAGGCGGGCAGATCACTTCAGGTGAGGAGTTCGAGACCAGCCAGGCCAACATGGCAAAACCCCATCTCTACTAAAAATACAGAAACTAGCTGGGTGTGGTGGCATGTGCCTGTAATCCCAGCTACTTGGGAGGCTGAGGCAGGAGAATTGTGTGAACCCAAGAGGCAGAGGTTGCAGTGAGTCCAGATCACACCACAGCACTCCAGACTAGGTGACAGAGTGAGACCCTATCTCAAAAAAAAAGAAAAAAAAAAATTATACACTGTGGAATGGCTCAGTTGAGCTAATTAACCTATGCATTACCTCAAATACTTACCATTTTTTGTTAAGAACACTTAAAATCTACTCTTTTAGCAATTTTCAAAAATCAGCACATTGTTATTATGTTCATCATTTTATACAACAGATCTGTTGAAATTATTCCTCCTATCTAAGTGAAATTTTGTACCCATTGATCAACTTTTCCTCAGTCTTCTTTCCTCTCCTTCCTCACAGTCCCTGGTAACCACCATTCTACTTTCTGCTTCTATGTTATCACCTTTTTTAGATTGTACGTACAAGTGAGATTATGCAGTATTTGTCTTGGTGTGCCTGGCTTATTTCACTTAACATAATATCCTCCAAGTTCAACCATGTTGTTGCAAATGACATGATTTCCTTATTTGTATTGCACAGTATTCTATTGTACACATGTATCACATTTTAAAAATCATTGATCTGTTGTTGGACACTTAGTTTGATTCTGTATCTTGGCTATTGTGAGTAGTGCTGCAATGAACATGGGGATGAAGATATCTCTTCAACATACTGATTTCACTTCTTCTGGTTATATGCTCAGTAGTGGGATTGCTGAATCATATAGTAGTTCTATTTTTAATTTTTTGAGGAGCCTCTGTGTTATTTTCTATAGTGGCTGTACTAATTTACATTCCCACCAACAGTGAGCAAGAGTTCCATTTTCTCTATATCCTCGCTATTTTTTTTTGATATGAGCCATTATAAAAGGTGTGAGGTGATCTCTCACTATGGATTTAATTTGCATTTTCTCTGATTACTAGTGATGTGCATTTTCTTATAAACCTGCTGGCCATTGGTATGTCTTCTTTTGAGAAATGTCCATTTAGGTCCTTTGCCCGTTGTTTTATCGGGTTATTTGTTTTCTTGCTATTGAGTTGTTTGAGTTCCTTATATATTTTGGACATTCACCCTTTACTGGATGTATGGTTTGCAAATATTTTCTCCCAATGCATGGATTATGTCCTTACTCTGTTGACTGAGAGAAAACTAAGTTTTGAACAGCCTCAATTAGTAAATTGTGCAAGAGCTCACATCTATCCGTTGAAAAAGCTGGGCTTTATGCTGCCTGAACTCCAAAGTGCATTTTTCCCCAGTGTCCCAAACTGATTTCCAGCAGAACAGAGCCCCAGTCCCAGGGAGGCATAGATTCTGAGTCGTGAGGTGCTGATCCACAGGTTATCCAAAGGTTGAAACATTCCCAGAATTTTTGTGGTTGAACAGTGACTCCTGCATCAGCTAGTGAGTAGTGTGTCCACTAACCATCTACATAATACCAGACTGTTAATTCAGTTAAAAACATTGTATTGCACATGTGTGCCTGACACTATTCTGGATGCTGCTAGTTTCTTTTCCCCATCAAGTTCAACCTTTTTTTCCCATCAAGTGCAAGTCAAATGGTCCTAAAATAACAACCAGGTTTCCCACTTACTGCATTCAGGCTGCAAAATGCTATTGAGACACTTCTTTCTCCTTCATATTCACTTTAACCTGCTGTTTTTGGAATCACATGGTGCTGGGAAAACTGAATACTAGAGTTTAAAATCCCCCTTCTCCTTACAGCAGGCACAATAGCCCATTTGTCCAGGGCTGTCACACACAGAGGCCCTCATGCTGCCTTGTGAGTTCAGTGAGGGCAGGTGGGACCTCTTCCTCCCAATGGATAGAGAACCAATGTCACCACATCAAGGTGAATACTCATACTGTGTTCCTTTTCTTGGAAACAATTATGACGTGAGGAGAACAGGGATGGTTGAGGCTTTAATTGCACCAGGAAATTTGTACGATGCAAGGGAAAAAGAATAAGTATTGGGCCTTTGGGGTTTTTAAAAAAATTATTGATATTGGTAGTTGTAGGAGTTTGAAAAATTTTGTGAAAAGGAACCTATCGTGTTGAAGAGATTTAACATGAAATGGTGGTTGTGCTGGGTATTGTGGGGAGGTCCCTAGAGGGAGGCAGTGGGAGAAGAGAATGGTTCTGTTGTGGCATAAAGGAAATCTTTAGTAGGACATCATGTGAGCTATGAGAAACCCTTCAAAATATAGTCCTTTTGGTATTTTTATGTAAAATGTTCCCTTGTGGTTAACAATGAAGAGAATCCTGATAGATACTGCTATGCATTGAATCACGGTTAAGGCCACCAATAATTTATGTCCCACCCATAAATTTATGTTCCACATTAATAGAAAAAAATGGAATAAATATGCAACAAATAGGAAGGGTGAGGAAGAAGTCAGTTCACCTGCTAAGTGTTTATTGAAATTAGACACTAATGTTATCCTCCGCTTTTGATCAGGCCAGGCTAAATGTTAGAGTCTGACATCTGTGTGGATGTGGGTGCATTTCTTTAAGTTAGATAATCTGTAACACAATATAGTAGCAAAAGTACACGAGTATCAGCTAATACAAAATAAATAAAGCAAATAAGAGACCATTCTGGTCAGAATTGACTTATGGTCTCTAATATCCCTTGAGCTGTTTTTCCTGCTGACTCATATGATGGATGGTAATAGACTGATAGGGTTCTGGACCAGACAAGTAGCTGCCTGTGAACTGTGGCTTGCATCCATCATACACATATTAATTGATTCATTAATATGAGTTACACAGTCTTCTTTTTCCCTATGTGCCGTGTTTAGACTTGTTACTATCAGAAATCAAAATACTCTGTTTTTAAAAGCTGAGTAGAAATTGCCTTAAACCCAAGCAGAGTCTGCAAACATTTTAAGCAAATATTTTTCCACTTTTTAATTTTTAAAATAAACTCCAGTATTTCTTTCCTTTTTTTAAAAGTATGTAATACAAAGCACAAGATACAAAATCAGATATGTTTCTATCTGGTTTTCTTCAGTACCCTTTCTAAGTGAAACAGGATATTATGTTTAAAATCCTTTGAAAGTAATTGTTGTTGTGTATTCCTATTGTTCTTGTTCTTGTGTAATCCTCTCCTTAGGCAGTAAATATTCTGTTTATTGGGTGTATATTATATGCTTAGCATGTGTTAGACCATCTGAGTGACACAGAAGAAGCAAAAGACCGGGTTCTTCCCTTAAATACTCATGCTATAGGTGGAGAGACAAGGAAAGCACACGAAACAATTACAGACAGTAAAAATAACAGAACGATAAATTATGTGGTGTGCTAAGTTGTGGATTAGACCTGGTGAACAGGAGAGTGCATCTGCGTTAGAGATTCATCATGAGCAGACACAGAAATGAGTGTCAGCCATTCATATTGTGGGAACCCCTAATCTGAGCTAAATGTGTGTTCCTTTCTACTGGGCTAAGTGAGCTGGAGCAAAGTGCAATACAAGGTGGAAACACCTATCGCAATGGTCTCAATGTTGGTGTCCCCCCAATTCTTACGTTAGAACCTAATACTATGATTAAGAGGTGGAGTCTTTTAGGGAATGATTAAGTCATAAGGGCTCCATCTTCATAAATGGGATTAAGGCCTTTATAAAAGAAGTTGAAGGTGCTGCCTTGCCCTTCTGCTCTAAGGGTGAGGAGGAAGGGGAGTCACAGCAATAAGGCGCCATCTCTGAGGCAGAGCACAAGCCTCATCAGACACTGGATCTGTCATCACTTTGATCTTGAACTTCCCTCCTCTAGAGCTCTGAGAAATAGATTTCTGTTTTTTTGTAAATGACACAGTCTAAGGTATTTTGTTATAGCAGCCTGGACAGACTAAGACAGCTATACTTTGTGAAAAGCCATTTAGCATCTTAAGGATGTGAGATAGAATAAAATGGGGACACAGAGTATATAAATATTCTTTGTGAAAACTAAAATTGCTTCACATGGCAGGATAGTGTTACGCCAGTGTTACTAATCATATGACACGGAAAACTCTAGATATTTGAAGGAAATTTTCAGTTTTATCTGAATTTTGTACATTTTCTAAATTGGTTTTAAAATTTTACTAAAGAAACATGAGACTGAAAAATAGCATCTAGACTGTCTAGTGTCACCACAATGTGCAAATATTTTGCTGTGGTTTTTGTGTGAAACAAAGTGAGATTTGTCTTCTATGTGCACATACATGGCTGTTCCCTAATGGCCTAAAGTCTTCACCAATATATAAAGCAATAATTATGCAACTTTCTCTATATTTTATCCATCAGTCCTAATTTATCTACCCATCTTCTCACTCTTTCGACAACTATTTATTTACATGCAGTAATTGTGCTAGGTACTGAGGATACATTCAGATGAACTGAATTTTGATACATTGGGTAAATGCTTCAATTTAAGTTGGAATTAGGACGGTTAAGCATGGCTGAGGTTGGGTTGCTATTTTCTTTCATTTGAAAAGTTTACTATAAAGTAAAGGGGATACTACTTTCAGATGTATTTCTATTAAATAAAGCATAAAATTATTGTACTTGAACATAAATAGATTTTTCATATGTTCCATTCCATTAGAATTGGAGGAATAAATGAAACATGTTTACTAACATTCATGTTAATGTAGTAAGATACATTCTTTTGATCCATAGAAAAGGCACTCATTAGGAATGGGCTGGAGGGATTATTATTTTTTAAATGAAAATTTAATTAGTATATTAGAAAAGGAAAATTTATAGCAAAACAAAAACAAGAATCTCAATCTGATCCCTACCCTCCAAAAAGCTAGCAAAAAGGAAAACTCTCTCCCTTCTGAATTAAGTTGAATCTAGGTATATATGTTGAACCTGAGTACATTATAGCTTAAGAAAGAAATGATTTTAGGGATGTGTGTGTGTGTGTGTGTGTGTGTGTGTGTGTGTGTGTGTGTGTGTGTATATATATATAAACATATATATATATGTTTATAAACAGGAGGTGGATATATTTACTGCAATTCAATCAGGAAAAATAAATTGGGGTAATTATGTTGGATACCAAATAATGTCTGACTTGTTAAAAATACACTAGCTTAAGGTGACTTAAAATTGTGCTCATAGTTTAAAATAATGTTATAAAGAGAAAGCTAATTAGCTGTTCTGGTCATTTAAGTGTAACTTGTATTGGGGCAAACACAAAATAAAAAATAATCTTTTGTTAGACCCAGGGAAGAATTACATGGCTTCTTGAAGTATGAAGTAGAGAGGGTTGAAGAGCAACTATGAGAAGACTTTCTGTAATCGTCCCTAAAGCTGCTTTGAATGATTTACATATGGACCAACTGCCTAATAAACCCTTTTCAACATCTGCATATATATATATATATTTAGAATAAGTCTAGTTATTGAACTATTTTGGAGCCACGAGCTGATACCTTGTTTTAATCAAATCTGAAATACTAAAAAGAGTTTTATAAGATGTTCAGCCTAAACATCATGCTTAGGGTTAATAACAGTCTCTGGGCTTAAAGAATGTAAATTATTCCAAGAACATGACAGTAAAAAGTTCATCATGAATGTGTGTTTTTCTTTTCGGGGGCAATCTTTCATCCTGTTTGGTGTGAACTTTTATGGAAAAAGGCATCAGCACTGGAAGGGGGGTTACCTGTTGTAGAGTCAGAATCATTGCAATTTATATAATAAAAATCACTATAATTTTAATTGTATTAGCAATATAGAATTGAAACTTCATTACTTGATTTTACCTATATGATACTCATAGTAAAATATAAGAGAAGAGTGTCTTAAAGATCCAATTTTGAGTCACTCTTTATGGGTAGTAAACTTCATGTATCCAAAGAAAAGCATCAAAAATATTGAGCATCTCCATTATAAGGTAAGTGTGGTTCTTTGTCCTTGAGGAACTTACTGTGCAGTTAGGTAAAGATAATCTCTTCATGTGGTCTGTCTATATATCCATTCCCCTTTCTATTGATTTGTCTACTTATTGACTCATCTATTATTTATAATATATATGATAAAAAGTCCCAAATAAGGTATAAAGATAGTATTACGGGAGGCAAAAGAAGTGAGATTGCTATAAACTAGGAGAGAAACTCTGTCATTCTCAAAGGTTTCCAAGCAAAGGTAATATTTAAGCTTGGGTGTAAAAGCTAGAAATGATAATTGAAATAAACACAGAAGGTGAAATTCTTTGACTCAAATTATTGTTCTAGTTCTGCTATTTAGCTGTACAATTTTATACAGGTAACTTAAATTTTCTAAATTTAACCTTCTTCATCCATAAAATGTGAACGATGACAAATTCTATTTCTTGAACACCAATAACCATAGCAACTCTCCAAGGTGCATATTATTTAATTACAATTTAAATATTAGGATATGAAGATTTATGAAGGTTAAGTAATTTCTCCAAATGTACAAAGACACACGGATTCAAACTCAAGCCTTATCGATTTCAGTTCTACCCTGTTTGTTTTTCCTCTACAACTTGCTTGGTTTTCTTCCAAGACTATTCTGAGGAATAAATAAAATAAACTATAAAATGCAACCAAAATGTGAAGTATGTATGTATCGCTATGATGGTGACTATGATAAGGATTATTTTGCAGCAGGACAGGGGCCTTCCAGGCAGTGTAAATCAGATCATAAAGGCTTAACTCGTATGTTCCTTATAACCAGTGTTCTACCAGTGAAGCAATTAAATCACAAAACTACTTTTAATTTCTGTTTTATTATGGACTTTATTATTTAGCAAATAGATGATTGTCGATTTATTACAAATGTGTTGTGTCTCAAGGAATAGCTAGAAATGTTTTTCTAGTTGGGCCTGGCTCGGTGGCTCTCACCTGTAATCCCAGCATTTTGGGAGGCTGAGGTGGTTGGATCACCTAAGGTCGGGAGTTCGAGACTAGCCTGACCAACATGGAGAAACCCCCTCTTTACTAAAAATACAAAAGTCACCAGGTGTGGTGGCGCATGCCTGTAATCCCAGCTACTGGGGAGGCTGAGGCAGGAGAATCACTTGAACCCTGGAGGGGGAGGTCGCGGAGAGCTGAGATTGTGCCATTGCACTCCAGCCTGGGCAACAAGGGCGAAACTCCATCTCAAAAAAAAAAAAAAAGTTTCTCTAGTTTATCTTTCATGTTCACACATTTTGGAAGACCCTATTGTATAAACCCTGACTCTCACCACACAACGTTTTAGAGTTGGTTTTTCTTTTACCTTATGAGAGTCCCAGGTAACTTTAAAGATACCACATCCCTTGAGCTGTGTAGGGGCCGGTGTCTGTCTGAATGTGAAACAGGTCTGCTAATAGCACAATGTTTACCCACTGCTCAATCTCAAATCAATCACAAGTCCACAAAGAAGGCTAATTATAAACATTTATAAAAGGTACTGGTTGCTACCATTTGTTTTGGGTAAAGGTATTTAAAATTTTAATTTAGTTTTTGCTAGAATTCAGGAAGCAAAGACTGATTTATTATTCTGAGATATTGTGTACATTTTTCTTCAATATGAATGTTTTCCTGAGCTGTAAGATTCAGAAGTAGCAGAAATGTCATTCTTATTTTTCAATAACGTTTCCAGGGCTTGTTTGGGTTAATTCTAAATGGCCCTTTGAAAATGAGTGAAATAATTGCTAATTGTAGCCCTTTGGTCAGTGGCCTGAATATACCATGGTCTTTTGTATATGGAGGTTGCATTGCTGGAAAAAAAAAAAAAAAAAAGAAAGAAAAAGAAAAAAACCACCACCTTCATTTAATGATTTCTGCTTAGGGTAGAAAGGATCTTTTGTCACTTTAAAGTGAATTCCATTAATGGTCTAGTCATGGTGAATTGGTTAAGGGCGGGAATGGTGTTTATGTGTAAATGCAGCCCTACTTGATCAATTGTACATACAGAAATCATGAAACAACCCTAAGAAATATCAAATCAGAGACATGAGTGATAGACTTTCTATTTTTGGATGCCATACCTGGTGCATAGTTGACCTTCACTTGAATAATGACAGAGATATACCACATTCTCGGGAATGAATTTGATGTTTAAAAACAATTACCTAAAGACAATTAAAATATTCCTTTTAAAATTTACTTTTGAGTTAGTTTACCTGATGGTAGAAGCACACAGACCACCTGGGAAGCTCTTTCAGGAGGACCTGATTCATAATGCAGATTGATGGCTACCCTACGCCCTCTTCAGTAGTACAAAGATTGTGTAACATTTTTACAGCAAAATTATATTTCTGTCATCACCCAATTCAGAAAATCTGTCACTTTCAAATGATGAAATATTGCTATCTTCTTAAAGCAATTTGAAAAAATTGCACTGAAGGTATTTTTGTTGTTTTCAACCCTATGGGTTTGGGTAGTATTTACACCAGAAAATTATTCTGTTTAAGAAAGTTCATTAAGATTGTCTTTTCTGAAGAGATACCCAATCTTTTCACATGTTTCTCAAAGTTTATATAAGAAATACATCTCTGAGGAGAGGTAACATCTGAATATCCATAGGTGTAGAACTTATATAAAATATGATACTTAAAGAGGTCCAATGTTCTGAATTATTTCCTCCCTAAAGGATCTCTCTCTTTCTCTCTCTCTCTCTCTCTCTCTCTCTCTCTGTGTGTGTGTGCCTCTCTGTCTTTCATTTTAAAGGCTATAGATTATAAATAAAATTAAGACCAAGCATAAAATAAATCAGATTGTTTGCACTTTTTTGTCCAATAGAAAGCCTATTTGCAACTAGCTGCATTATTTGTAAGCAAAACATTTAATGAATAACAATTATTTATTTTATTTTGTAATTTTTAAAAAGTAGTTTTACCATTCACAGAATTTGGTATTATTAATAGTTATTATCCTACTCTAGCAGTATGCACAATGATAATCTTAATGATTTAAAGGTGTTAGAGGGTATCTAGCCTTGTCCCTTAATTTGTAGAGGCTGGAGACACACTCCGTGGGGCTTGTTTCCTCAGGCTGACCTAGACACTTTATAACAGAAGAGACATGGGTGCTGATTATGCCCACATTCTATTTATAATTTCTGGGTGTGTTATTGGTTTGTCTACTTTTGTATTTAAAAAAATTCTAAAACTTTGTTATACTATTAAAAACTAGCATGAGTATACATCGTAGGGGTGCATTCTTTGCCCTTTACTATTCAGTTATTTTCCGAATTAAACATGCTCATCATTTAGCTACTCTGATAGAACTCTCATTCACGAATGCTTGGCTCTGGCTATTTATGACGTATAATAGCTTACTTCAGAAATGGTAGGCTGACCTTTTACCATATTTTAAATAATCTTTTCTAGCACTTTAATATTAAGTTTGAATTATTGAGTTTTCAGGGAAAAAATATATGCAAGTGAAATCTCTGACCTTTGTGTGGATTTCATATAAATTTTCTCGTTTCCAACCGCTCTTGAAACACAAAGATATTTTGCTTATGTTTCTTAATTTTCAGTCAATAAATTCATCATTGGGTGATTTATAACATTATTGCTTCTTCAGGTGACTGAACTTTAGGACACAGCTGTACCATTGTTCTGGCCAACGTAATTGTTTGTAAAGCTGGGGAAAACATTTGCAGATGAGTACATTTTGGGAAACTTTGTGTAACATGCAAGTATAAATAAGCTTTCTATGCATGACTCACTGCCATATCTTTGTAGACAGACCGAGGAGAGGAAATAAAAACTCTGCATTTTGGTAATTCTTTTCTTGCGGAATGACTTGTTAATACACAGAAAGGCATTTCAAGTTTTGATTTAAATGGGAATGGATAAATCAAATGAGTATTGGAGTGCCATGTTCAGATATGAACATGTATAGACTGATACTTCACAAAACGCTTTCTAACATTTAAATTGGTGAAGCCAAAGCTACTACTCTGTCAGACAGATAAGTGCTATTAACTTGAATTGACTAGAGCATAAACTGAGATTCAGAAGGTTTAAGACTTGATTGACAGACACATTGATCATGATGCTGATCAAAGATAATGAATCAATCAACTCCATTTGATGGAATCACATCAATGTCTTGGTTATTATATTAGTGAAAGAGTGCTTTATTTGTAGTTATCCTTCCATTCTCACATAGGCATGTTAATTCATGTCATTCACAGATTTAGTCTGAAAATTGTAAAAAGTTTCATTGTTTCTTTCTGCATTCTCATAGCATTTTCAGGATTTTCAAAATATTGGACGACTCAATGAAACATGGCCTATTTCAGTAATTTAATGGCTAGACAATTCTGCAGACTACAAATTATATTTTTAGTGGTTTCAACTTTGTTTTCATTCTTCATAGGTATACATTCATATACAGTTAAAAAAATTACACCAAAGAGTATAAAAAACATTTTCAAGAGTCAACATTCACTTGTTTAAGGCAGAAATTAATTCATACTATTTACCAAATTGCATAACCTCAGCTAGTTAGAGAATAATCTACATAATTAAATCTGGTTTAAAAAGAAAAGCAAACATAGGAAAATATAAATTTTCCACCATCACATCTCTTCAACAATATACATTTTCTACCAGCATATCTCTTCAACAATGTGTTGAAGCTCATATGCTGAAAAAGCCAATTCTTCTGCATTTATTGAACATTATTGTGGGAAAATGTCTCTGGAAGACACAATTTAAAGAGATGTCAATCCAGATCACTTTCCCTGTTTTCTTTGAAAAAACAAACAACAAACAAACAAACAAAAAAACGGTAGGTGAAGCTCTTGCTCACTTCCACAATTCAAATAATTGAATGTGTAGAAAAAGACTGAGAAGGGGGTTGCCTATCTAGGAAGACAGTAAATGCAGTTCTAAGCAAACTGATAGGCTTAAGTCGCGTAATATCTACATAGTTTTCAAATAATTTCTTCACAGAACTCCTTCACTCAGCCATTGCAAAAGGTCTTGAAATTATTTCTGTGGGATTCTGTTCCCCGACTGACTAAGTTGAAACGTGCAGGTGTATGGCTCGGCAAAGATCATACTCACTCCCTGTTTTTCCTCCATTCTTGTTATTTGAGTCACCAATTTGAAATGCACCATTACCACCAAATAACTATTTAGCAGTATACAATCACACAATTGTGTGAAGAAACAAACATAATGAGGGACGCTGGGGAAATAGGATCCTTTATTCAGGGTACCTATCCTGCGCTGAAATGACGGAGGCTTCTGTAGCTTTTGTAACAGAGTATCCTCTCAACAATTACCTTCAGCTAATGGCATGCTAAACTGGACAGGAAATCAAGTCTTGGAATGAATGGATCCATTGGGCCAAGTGACAGAGGGTCTAGCACGGTTTTTACATGGCCTCAAAGGAGGAATGTTCTCATTATGCAATTATAGCTCCACTAAATTAAAGAATATTGATATCTTCTCTGATTTTATATTATTGCTTTTTCAATTCAGTATTAGTAAATGGCATACCTTATTACTTCAGAATGTAAATGTCTGCTGTTTCTTTTTATCACTCTAACACCTCTACTTTGTTTCTCGGATCACATGGTGTTTGTGAGCTAACATAAGACTTAAGGTGACCACTCACAAAATACTGTCATTGTTATATAAAAAGTACTGTAAAAATCTGAAATTATTTTCTGAACATAGATCTAGAAGCATCAATTTAGGTGAATCTTACAAAGGGACTCAAGAAAAATATTATCAATTAATGAAGGTTGAGGCCAAATAATTTATATCTAAGACGTTTTATTTTTCAGTGAATCAAAGTTTAATCACATTTAGCCCTCAAAAGGATATATATATATATATATATATAAAATATTAAAAAATAATTTTTTTACTACATGCTCAAATGAGATGATTTCTACTTTCTTCTAGGACAGTAGCCGGAATCTTCTGCCATATCTGCCTCCAGAGCATGTACTGTTATGCTTTGTAAAATGAAATGGGAAAGTTGAAACACATTACCTTGAGAAGCCTCATAACATTTTCCCAATACATTCGGGGTGGTCAAATATGACAGGTCAAGAAAAATCATCATTCCTGGAAAACTCCCCCAACTGGAAACTCACAATTCACAATACAACTGAAACACAATTCCTTCAGAAATTAGAATTCAGATAGCTTCTTCAACTTTCGGTAAAAAAGTTTTGAGGAAAACTCATGAAGTGTTTAGAGGTGTACAGTTTTTTGTTGTTTCCCCAGTCACTTGTTCCCTCATTTAGGAATGAGACTAACTCAAGGGCACGCATGTTAGTTGCGATGTGCACCAACCACACTTGGAGAGTCCAGATGGCAGGACGTCTGAAAGAGTGCAAGTAGTGATCAAGGTAATAGGCAATGAGTTGGCTGCACAGATTTTAAGAGGAAGAATTTAATAATACTAAACATAATTTCCCCAAACCTTACACAATCCCCCAAAATCCATCAATAAGACAGATGATAAAATGTTACATATTTATTTATGGAATATCAGGCAACTGTTAAAAAGACGTGTTTTAGGTGTATGTGCACAAAGATTATTCATAATCTATTGAGAAAAAATGGTGGTGATACACTACAAAAATAATTATCATTTATAAATAAAAACACTAAGTATGCATGTTTGTATATGTTCACACAAGCCTGAGAAAAGGTGTGGAAGAAAAGTGATATAGTTGTATTTTTGCTGCGCCAATTCAGAATTTCAGCATTTTAAAAAGTTTTTTAAAATAATTTTTTTTAAAACTCTCAAAATTTAAAAATTCCTTTCAAGCATGTATGTGAAAAGGTTTTCTTGAGTGATTGTGTTCCTCTCTTCCAGGCTTCATTAAGTCTGACTGGCAGGTTTCTTAACTTCTGTAGGGTTGTTTCTTTATCCCATAGAATAATAATATCTTATTCTGTGGTGGTTGATATAGAAATTATTAATATTATCTAGGGTGTCCAGCCAATTTGCTAGAGTAAATTCATTATTTGATGTGCCTATTTATACTCTAAACACCTAATGATTATACTGAAAGTATTTTTTAAAAGAAACAATAAATATCATACCCAGATGCCTGAAGAGGTAAATCTTTCCCTGATATACAAAATGATGCATGTAGCTGAAGCCAAGGGTTTACCAAGTAGGTTTTTATTATTCTGGTGTACTCTGCTACTTCCAAGTACCACTCCCATGGGATGACGAGAACTAAGAGATCCTCTATTGGAGAAAATTCACAGAAGCTAAGTTTTGGCTTATAGGTAGATGTTGAGGTAGAGCTCCTTGCCTCAAGGAAGCTGAAAAATACTGCTTCCAAAACATGAAGTTTACGTGAAGTTGTGGGCCTAAGGAGGCAGAAGAACACAAATATATTCCTACAACAGGAAACTGAATCTCATTACTCGATTGTAATTAAAATAAATTTAAAGTTAACAATTTAAAAAGAAGAAAAACCCTCTATATTTGGGAATTAAAAATGCATTACTATATAAATTATGAGTTAAAAAGAAATCTCAATGGAATTTATGAAATATTTTTAATTAAATAACTAAGAAAGTACATACAACAATACTTATTGGATGAAGTGAAAGTCATGCTTAGAAATAGCCTTCAATAGATTAAATAAATTGAAAATAAACAATATGTCCAGCTAGAAAAAGTCAATAGATATATTATAGAAAATAAAAACATAAGAAATGAATGAGGTAGAAAACAAATAAATATTAATCAATGAAATAAAAACTTTCTGAATTAAATATAGTATATTAGAAATAAATATAAAATATATATTGTGATCATTAATGAGAAACTCAAAACCCTAAGCTGGACATTTCTATTGAAAAAACCTGCAATTCTACTAAAAATACTAACAGTGTGTGTCATGACAATGAATTAAGTAAAATTCATATGGCAAATTGTAGGGCAACCCCAAAGATGGAGAAGGATAATACAGATTAAGGATGACTTCTCCTTCTGAATGTTAAGACTTGCTATGTTATTATAATAAATAAAGTGAGACGGGGTTGGACTAGAAGTAGGCACACAAACATAAACAGCTAGAGATAGATAGATAGATAGATAGATAGATAGATAGATAGATAGATAGATATGTATATATGAAATCCACATACAACAGAGGTGGAATTATGAGTAGATTACTGACCTCTACTTATGCCCTTGTTTGCATCAAGGGCCCCTTAATGAAGTAGGAAAACTTGTGCTACTTTCCCATATGTTGAAAAGATCCAATTACTTGAAGTTTCTTTGGACAAAGAAGGAACTTTCTAGGATGTGAACTTGAGTTCTTGTCTCTGGTCAGCCTAGTTCTTATTTGTAAACAGCAACCGTGTAAAAGGAAGGCAAGACAGCCAACCTGCATTTCCTGCCTTTCCCTTACCCTCTTCATTGGCATGTGTGGTCCCACGTCTTTCTTGGAAAGAACTGACTGTGAGGTTAGAAAAAATGGATAAGAAGACCAGTAGCGACTTTCTCCGTACATATGTTCTTTGTCTTTCTTTTCTTTTCTTTCTTTTTTTTTTTTTTTTTTTTTTTTTTGAGACGGAGTCTCGCTCTGTCGCCCAGGCTGGAGTGCAGTGGTGCAATCTCTGCTCACTGCAAGCTCCGCCTCCCGGGTTCACGCCATTCTCCTGCCTCAGGCTCCCGAGTAGCTGGGACTACAGGCGCCCACCACCACGCCCAGCTAATTTTTTTTGTATTTTTGGTAGAGACGGGGTTTCACTGTATTAGCCAGAATGGTCTCGATCTCCTGACCTCGTGATCCCCCCACCTCGGCCTCCCAAAGTCCTGGGATTACAGATGTGAGCCACCACACCTGGCCTGTTCTTTTTCTTTAAAAAAAAAAAAAAAAAATCAGAGATTCTGGGATGTGTGAGCAGTGATGAGATCGAGAAAAAACTCACACAGCTCATATTTCTAACCTCTTCTTGACTCTCATACACTAGCTCACATGATTGACACACTGACTGCAAGTTTAGCATGGTTAGAAATAAGTCTAGACATTGAAGTATAAGAACAATGTTGTCTAAAAACTAAGTCATGTTTACTTAATGATCAATTAAGGTATTGCTCAGTCTATGTGACTAACCTTCAGTACATTTCGTATATTCATGCCCTCACAGGCTTCCCTTGCTTAAACTAGACTTTACATTTTTCAGAGCACTAAAAAAAAAAAAAAAAAAAAAACTCCTAAAAATGTAGCTTGGTGACTAAATTATTTCCTAGTGCTACTGTGGAAAGAGGGGAGATCCTTCGGCCCTAAGTGAGTCTCATGACTGTTAAGCCTAGGAACTGATGGATTAGATCATTAGGTAAAATGCCTCTCTAAGTAAGATTTGCCAAGTTTCTAATGTTACTAATCTTTAGCGTACTGTAAAAATTGCTGTGGATTTACATGGAACAATTATTTTGAGTACAAGGAAGAAAACCTCATTACTCAGAGTTATTACTAATAATCACCATCATTAACATTACTGGCAAGAGGGCAGTTATATGGCAAGTTACACTAGGTTAGTACCAGAGACAGAAAACAAAAAACCTTCCCCGAGGGCCGAGTCAGTGTACAATTTGCATAGACAATCTGCAGTAATGAGCTGTCTATTAAGAAGATCTGGAGCTCTGTTACCAGTCTCTTCAAAGAGGTGAATTTCCCATGAATTTAATAGTTATCTTGAAGACCTCTGAAGTTTTAGCTACCTGTAAATGCAATTGTTGCCTTTATTATTGTGGGTTTTTTGTTAAGGGAAATTTCATTCTCAAATTGATAGTGGGAAAACTTCGAAGCTATTTAAGGGAAATGAATTGTGAGGAGAGAAAAATATAGTACAAGAGTGAGCTTTGCTCACAAACCAATGAACCAGTTCAGTTTCCAGAAAACTGCATTTTAGGTAAATTTTATTGTTTATAGGTATGTTAGTCTGAAACCCTTAATGAGGAAGCCCAGTAACCAAGAAAGGTTGTATTTCAATTTGATGACAATCTGTAATAAAATTTGTTTTTTCCCCTCCTGCCTCTCAGCAGATGAGACATTGAACTTAAACTATAATAAAAAAGTGTATTTGGCTGTGCACCAACTATAAATGTCATTCATTAAGATTTGATAATATAGTTTATCATTGTGATGAACTTTCCAGTTTTCTTGCTGAAACTGAATTTGAAACCTTGAAGGGTTTTCCACATTTTCTAGGACCTATGACTGATATGTCAGAAGATTTCAGTTTTGACATCTTAGCATGTACATGATCAGTTGAAAGAAAAGGATTGTACTAAACACAGAGATGTTAAGCTGAGATTAAAACCACCAATGGCTAGTGTGTACTCTGTGCATGATAACCATCTTGGTAAGAATCTCAAGGAAAAGAATTGCCTACGTCAGAAAGATGGGTTTGATAAAATATAAATATAAGGTAAAACCAATTTGTGGGTTAATTTCAAAGAATTGTACTGTGAACTGAAAATTATCTAAAATCTCTTACTTATTGGTAATACATTTAGAAATACTGATGACATAGAGTTTTTAAGTAAAATCGTATGTAAGCAAGGCTTTTAGGAATGTGTACATATAAATATATATATTTTATTTTGCTGAGGGAATGGGATGTTTATGTTCTTTTCTATTTAAATTGCTGTACCTAGATACTTAGTTAGAAAACTATGCCAATAAAACATGTCTGCTATGTAAGAGCCCTTTTTCTAGAAAGACTTTTAAGTCATGATTCTAGTGTCAGAAAATTTGAAATGAGAAATATTCACTACATTTTCTTTCTCTGATAAACTATCCATAGATTTTCATTGGCTTTTGTTGTGCCTATGGATTTTCACTGGTGTAATATATTTCCCAGGGTTTAGAATATTAGCTTTACCATCAGATTGCTTGCTGACCTTAAATGCTTTATATTATTTTGAAATACTAATTTAGGTTTCTGACTCAAAAGAGACATGGAAACACATAGTGTTTTGGAAACTACATTGTTAGAAACCTAATGGTTGAATTCCAGATTTGTCATTTTGCCAGCCAAAAAATTGGTTTAATAATAGATCCTATCTCATACGTTTGGTTAAAGGGTGAGTTGAGATCATGCATGTAAGGTACATGACAGATAAATACAGTTATTTCCGGCAATCATTAGTCTCAATAAGAAAATGATTCTCTTTTCTAAGATAGTCTAAGAAGTGGGAGGCTTCCAAACTAAGTGTCAGGACTTACCAGGTGGTAGGTGGGCCATGATATTATCAATCCCCTCAGCCCCTCTGCACATAGACTGAGGCATCCGGAGTCCCTGGATGAGTCTTGCCCATGCTGCCTTGTAATATATTCCAAATATTATCATTTTTAAAATCATTTTTCCAAAGACAGGGGTCTCTCAAGGTTACCCAGGCAGGCATTGAACTCCTGGGCTCAAATGATTCTTTTACCTCAGCCTCCTGAGTAGCTGGGATTGAAGGTGCCCATCACCACGCCTGGCCACTTTTGTGTCTTCACATGAAAGCTATTGGAAATTACTGACTAAGGAACCTCATATGATGAAATTCTACGTTGAAAAGTTGAGGTAGAAAGTGGGCAGATAAATTTTCCTACTTAAGAATTATAAATCTATAGAGATAAAAGTTTATTATGAATGCTTAGGTGTCTGGATTTCTTTTGCTGTATTATTCATCTTCTAGTTTCCTGTCTTAATAGTCACCTTTTAGTGAACCTGTTCAAATAAGGACTTCAATGAATATCCTTATTGGGGTAAATCTCTATTCTCTGCTTCACTCCTTTTATACTTAATTTTGTGTGATAATTGCAAAATTTTAAAAAGGAATAGCACCCGGAGACTTTCAATGTTTTGGACTGTAAAATAAAAGCATTATTCAATCAAATGTCTGATTAGATCTATGTACTTTTTCATCAAGAATCTTAGAAATATTGTGAAATATCTTCCTTTTGGTATTTCAAAAATTTTACTAAAGCATTTAGATCTGGAAGGCAAGATGCTAGGGAAAGAGCCAAATTCCTGGATTCTAAGTCCTGCTCTGTGGTTCACATCACCTAGACCCGGGTGCACTGGGGAGAGGAGAATGAAATATTGACACAATTAATTCAAAATAACTAAATGTATAACTTCTAAATTATATTAAATTAACAAAATGTATAATCGTTTTTACTAGAGTCTAGTGTACATACATTATCAAAGGTTGAGGAAGTTTTATGAGAAAAAAATCTGAAAATTGTTTTTTTTTTATTACTAGTTGAGAGGTGCTGTCATTTTTTTGGCAGATTGTCTCAGTCCAATGGGTAGAACACAGATGTTCTTTTGAAGCAGAATTAGAGAACACCTAAAATGGAAAATTTATTAGATGATATGGATCATAAAACCTATTTGCCACTATTATCATACTATTATCATTTTTTTAATGAAAATGACGGTAGAGAATTTGAAAAATGAATCATTTACATAATTTCTTCAATTAACATTGTTTCAGTTGGTAGGTTCCTCTGTAGTCTCCATATAATTTCTTTCTTTGACCCCCATGTACTGTTGTGGGTTGATTTTTGAGTGTTTCTTTTTTAGTCAAAGAAATACAGAAAAATAGGTAATTGAATTTTTCTATGGGGGCGTCATCCTGGGCACAGCTCTTAGTCCTCTGGAGGCTCTAGAACAATACGTTTCTGAAAGGCAGATGAAATTGTATTTTCTTGAGGATATTATACTCATGTTAGGTCTCTATCAGTTATGAAATATATTGTTGCTAAAGACACAAACTACATAAAAAGTGGAAAATTATACTTTGTCATCACAATAGTGTGGCAAATTTCAATTAGGCAGGAAAATAATTCTAGAAAGCTGAAATGCCAGAAATTAAAGAGATTTGCATAGTCTGTTTCTTGTCATGAGAATAAAACCTCATATATACACACTACAGAATGGAAATCACCTATTTCCCTTCAGCTCATCTTGCATTTATAGCCTAATTGAGAATTTTAGGAATAGTTGTTTCCCTTCGATGTGGCCTGTGCTAATACTTAAATGACTGCCTCACTTTAACTTTATTTATACATGAATAATATAAATGATTTTAAGGCAATTAAAGCATTTTAAAAAGTGGGAATGTAACAATGTTGGACTCTTTCTTACAATACACTTGAACTGATTTGAAGACTTTCTCAGTCACCATTTGCTATCTTTTCATTTGCTCCAATGGCTGTAACTATTACCCTTTCCTCATGGTTCTTGTGTTCCAGCCCTTCATTTTTCACTCCAGTGACTCTTCAGATCTTCTCAGATATCCCTACCTCTAGAAACTCCTTCCCTGTGAAAAATGGTTGAATGCATTATCTTGGAATAATTACCCCCATAATTATTGTTTACTTTTATATATTATTATTTGACTAATTGAAAAATATATTATCTCATTTACAGACTCAAAAACGATAGCTCTCTGTCTTCTTGCCTTCATATTCCCTTATGTCTTAATATTTCTCAAAACACCTTGGATCCGTTTCTATTTTTTAATGTTGCTCCTGCCCATGTTTCTAATGGTTCAAATATTTATTGGAATTTCTAAAAGCTTTCCTAAAAAACAAGGGACAGGAGTAAAACTCGGTATTTTTTCCCTCATCATTTCCTCTGATTAAGACTGAGTTTAAGATGATCACTGCTCCACTCACAGTAAATGGTAGTTACTCCAGATTCTTGTACTATAGTTGAAAAAGATCCATGCTTTATTTTCTCATTAGAAGATTACTTAAGATTGTTTATCTTGTAGCCAGGGTTGTTAAAATAATGTCACTCAGTGATTAAATTGTGCAGTAGCACAAGGATTAAGGGTCTAATAGCTTTTTAAAGTAATGATGGATGCTTCATTATTTTTTACTTACTTAATACATGCTAGTTTATAATGTTGTATCTAAACTGTTCATGTTCTTAAACTGTGCATTACGTAATGCACTTCCAAACAATTCTTATTTGTCTAATTAATATACTAAGCTTACAATGTCCATCACATCCTACCTATTTTATCTTGGGAAAGCTATTTCACCTCCTGGAAGCTAAGTTTTCACATCTACGGAAGTGAAGAGAATAATTCAGACCTTATAGTGATTGTACGACTTTAAAGAAAGTGTTACTTGCAAACTTTGATGTGGATGAAAGGTGGTCATGAGCAATAGAGTGGTTTACATTTGCCCTTGAGTTGCTAAAAATGAAAGAAAAGCACATGGGGTGAAAAACAGAAAAATGATATGAATGGCTACCTGTGTTTGGTGTCTTTGGTCTTTCTTTGGCAGATCCTTTTTGGAAAGAGCATCCTCAATTAAGATTTCAATTATTTCCCCCACCCCATGATCTCTCTAGCTTTATTATATTTGAGTGAAGGGACATGGTCTTGGGTTAGTGGAGGATGTATATTAGAGACCAAATCATATTGACCATGGTTTCTTTAGGAACTTACCTAATGTCATTTTGAAAATGCAGTAAAGTGACAGGACTGAACACACATTCAAGGCAAGAGGACAAAGGCAGGTGTGGTGAATAAGACATGGGACAAAGAGGTATATCCAATGAGTATGGTCATTAATAGTCCTTTTCAGGCTGAGTGTGGTGGCTCACAACTGTAATCCCAGCACTTTGGGAGGCCGAGGAGTCAGGATGGCTTGAGCCCCAGAGTTCAGGACCAGGCTGGGCAACGTAGCGAGAACTCATTTCCGTGAAAAAAAAAAAATCAAATAAGTAGCTAAGCATGGTGGCATATGCCTGTAGTCTTAGCTACTTGGGAGGCTGCGGTGGGAAAATCACTTGAGCCCAGGAGGTTGAGGCTGCAGTTAGGTGTAATCATGCCACTGTACTCCAGCCTGTGTGACAGTGCAAGACCTTGTCTCAAAAATAAATATATAAATAGTCCTTTTCAGTTTTCTTTTCTACACTGTGAGTCAGAATCCATTCGTGAGTCATGAAACCAATTTAATGGGTTATAAACAGAGTCTTTTCTTTACAGTAAAGAAAAATAGAATAGAAAATATCAGGGTTTCTTTTTCAGTTATGTGTGTAAGTGTGTTACATACTATAGATTGTGGTTAAATAAAAAATAAAATCACAGTCATTTTCATCAATGTAACACATAGGACCAGAAAAGTTGCTAGGTGGGCTTCATAAGGTGAAAGCTACAGTTCGAGATGAGCACCTTGGATAGCTCCAAAATAAACTAAATAGTGGCTTTGGCTGACTGAAACTAAGGCTGTTTGATCTGAAGTTAGCTGATGTCCACAAGAATAGTACACTCTCAAGGTAGACCCATGTTAATCATAAAGTGATAGAACTAACTTTGTTTAGAGCTTTGCCTTCATCTTGGAAGTCTCCTTAGATTTATTTTCTGTGGGTAGTAATCCAAATATATCCAAGAAAATATTTAGATCCCTAATTAAATAAATCGATACGTTGGTGTTATTCCTTGAGTTTCTTGAGTTTACCTTCAAATGGTATTGCTCTGTTCTGAAATACTCTCAGCAATCAAATTCTCTGCCTAGATAACCCCCTGCCCCTAGCATAGTCCTAGTCCACTTCTAGCCATGCACATTTTAGTAAGTCAGTGAGATATTGTGTGAAAATCACTCAACTTAAAGCATACTAAAAAGGTGTTTTGTCTCATCTCTGTTATTAGTTTTGAAACCTTGGGCTAACTACTTAAACTGCCTGAAATCACAACTTTCTTATCCATAAAATGGATTATGGATTGATAAATCCATATGTGTCTTATTTAATTTGTAGATCATTGGTGAAAGTGAGATGATGCATGTAAAAAGCATTTAGTAAAAGCTAATGATACTCAGAAACATAAAATATTATCATCTAGTCCACATATATCTTAAAATTTTATATTTTCTATTTAATTGTGAAATTATTTCCCACAAGATAAATTAGGTTCAGGATTATGAGGTAAGATGGCAAAATATTTTGAAACTGGACTTTCTGGTAATTTCTTTTTATTTTCCATGTCATCTCCTTCCTAGGAAATTCAACCTATTTCCCCAAAGAAAACAAGCTGTGGGGTGATTTCCTGCTTACATTTAGAAAATTATTTCTACAAGACTCTGGGATATATGATAAATAAAAACGGTGTCTAGATATTGTTAGCTCTTTCTAGTCATAACTCTGTTTCTAAAATTCTACTCTATCCACTCTTAAGATCATCTTTTGGAGTGTTGACTTGGGTTTTTCATTCTTCTTTGCTCACATGTGGCCTTAGCTCTCCCTTCCACTTTCCAAAGAACATTATGCCTGGGATCCCATTTGATTCCCTTTATGCCAGCCCCATTACTCTCTATTGCCTTTGGAAAGTCTTCCAAACTACTCTACTGTTTGCTGATGGTATCTACCATCTACCATCATGGTTTCAGTGCGTATTAGTCAGGATTCTCCAGAGAAACAGAACCAATAGGAGATATCTCTATCTCCATCTCTCTCTCTATCACTATCATTTCTATCTCTATCTTAAATGAGGTTTTTATAGGGAATTGGCTTATGTGATTACAGAGGCTGAGATGTCCCAGGATCTTCTGTCTGCAAGCTGGAGACACAGGAAAGCTGGTATAATTCCAGTCTCTAAAGGCCCAAGAACTCAGAAGCACTATGGCATAAGTCCCAGTTCAAGTCCAAAGGCAGAAGAACACTGATGCTTCAGCCCAAGTAGTCAGGCAGAGTTAATTTAACCATCCTCAGCCCTTTTATTCTATCTGAGTCCTCAACAGGTTGGATAATGCCCACCCACATTGGGGAGGGCCATCTGCTTTATTCAGTCCACCAATTCAACTGCTAATTTCTTCCAGAAATTCCTCAGAGACATGCCCAGAAATAATGTTTATCCAGATATGTGGGCATCTCATGGCCCAGTCAAGTTGACACATAAAATTAACCAGCCTACCTGTTATTTTGCTTCCTACATTCTTTCTCTTATCCACCATAAATTAGCGTTTATAAGCATAGGAGAATATCTATTTGCTAATCCCTCCAGTTTACTGCTGTGGACAATCTGAGCACAGGCCCCCACATTTCCCTTTTAAAATAGGAGAATTTTAAAGTACAAGCATAATTTTTAGGGATACATAGTAGGTGCATATATTTATGGGGTACATGAGATATGTTGATAAGTCCTATGTGACGTACAGGATAAAAACACAGGTTTACTTCTTTTAATATCCACAGTCTCTGCATTAATCACTTAAGCTGAGGCCCTGGGCCAGGTATGAGTGCCATATTCCTTCCCATATATTTCTTCTTTTGATTAGTAGGCAATGTTCATGACTTGTTTGTTCTTCACTGTGACACACCTGATATTCTGTATAGTATTGAACTTCCTCTTTTTCCGTTTTTTTGTTTTGTTTTGTTTTTAGTCTTTCTGCTTTAAATCCTTCTTAATCAAATCAGGCAGTGTTTGTGTGATTTAATTTTGCACAAGCCCACACCCTCCTGGAGATGACCAACTGTGGTTTGTTCTCGTACACTGAGATGGTAAGATGAGTCCTGTGCATTCCTATCTTGGCAAAAGCTCCTTTATCAAGCCTGTTTCAGCACTGGACCCTATACCCAAACTTGAGAGACAGGTTTTATTGGAACGCTTTTACACTATTGGTATGAGTGTGAATTAGTTCAGCCATTGTATAAGACAGTGTGGCAATTCCTCAAAGATCTAGAACCAAAAATATCATTTGATCCTACAACCCCATTACTGGGTATATACCCAAGGGATTATAAATCATTCTACTATAAAGACACATACACACGTATGTTTATTGCAGCACTATTTACAATAGCAAAGACTTGGAACCAACCCAAATGCCCATCAATGATAGACTGGATAAAGCAAATGTGGCACATATACACAATGGAATACTATGCAGCCACAAAAAAGAATGAGTTCATGTCCTTTGCAGGGACATGGATCAAGCTGGAAGCCATCATTCTCAGCAAACTAACACAGGAACAGAAAACCAAACACTGTAGGTTCTCACTCACAAGTGGGAGTTGAACAATGAGAACACATGGACACAGGGAGGGGAACATCACACACTGGGGCCTGTTGGGGGATTGGGGGGCAAGGTTGGGGGAGAGCATTAGGACAAACACCTAATGAATGGGGGGCTTAAAACCTAGATGGTGGGTTGATAGGTGCAGCAAACCACCATGGCCCATATGTATACCTATGTAACAAACCTGCACGTTCTGCACATGCAACCCAGAACTTAAAGTAAAATAAAAAAAAATTACAGATCTCAGACAGTATGCTGGGAGATTAATGAAACACATTCTGGAGCAGAGGGGGGATTTTAAAAAAAAGAGGTTTTAGAGATCACTGTTTATAGATCCGTATCTACTCCATAAATAGTTTCTGATTCTCTTTTCGAGGGAAACTCTTTTTGGGGATGATTCTTTTATACTTTTTTAAAACTAGAAGAAAAAAGGTGCCAAACAATGTTTCAAAAACTCATTTTAAAAGAGGAATGTGCCCAGATTGTCTACGAGAGTAACCTGGAGAGAATAGCAAATAAGTGTTCTTCTATACTTGTAAATGCTAAGCTATGGGTGAGTGCGAGAGAGAATGTGGGAAACAGAGTAACAGCGGGAGTCAGAAGATCTATTGTTGTAAATATGACCATGAAATTGGGAAAATATAAGAGAAAGTAGTAAGAATATTGGTATGAGGGTGAGAGGCAAACCTAAAGGGGCCATTTTAAAAATGAATATACATTGTTTCAGGCCACAGAAGTTTCTTTTCTTTTTTTTTGAGATGGAGTCTTGCTCTGTGGCCCAGGCTGTAGTGCAGTGGTGCGATCTCGGCTCACTGCAAGCTCCGCCTCCCGGGTTCACGCCATTCTCCTGCCTCAGCCTCCAGAGTAGCTTGGACTACAGGCGCCCGCCACCACGCACAGCTAAATTTTTTTATGTTTTTAGTAGAGACAGGGTTTCACCATGTTAGCCAGGATGGTCTCGAACTCCCAACCTCAGGTGATCCGCCTGCCTCGGCCTCCCAAAGTGCTGGGATTACAGGCGTGAGCCACCACGCCCGGCCAGAAGTTTCTTATTAAAGAAACTCATTTCCAGTCTGAAACAGAAAAATATAATCTTTAAAAATTTATTTTAATGTTTTCATTTTTAGGGGTACATAGTAGGTGTATATATTTACAGGGTATATGAGATATTTTGATACAGGCATACAATGTATAATGATCATATCTGAGGCATCCATTACCTCAAGCGTTTATCCTTTCTTTGTGTTACAAACATTCCAACGTATAATAAGTTACTGTTGTGCTATCAAATACTAGATCTTATTCCTTCCATCTTACCGTAGCAAAATATAATCTTGATGATAGTAATTCAGCCACCTCCTAATATAATATGTATCCCTATGAGTAGATAGTAAAATGAGGATTCTTCACTATCATCCTCTCTTAATTTCTATTTCTTTGTGGTTATCTGTGGAAGGGAAGAGAGGAGAGCATTATTCTGGGAGACAGTTCTGCTCTATGTCCAGGTCTGGGGTTTTCACTTCTGCTCTTGCCACCAGCATCTGATGTTTCCATATTGTGGCTCTTGCCACAAGCATCTGATGTTTCCATATTGTGGCGCGTCCTCCATCTTGTATGAGGTGGGCTGTATGTGCTGGTTGGAGTCCTTGGCTGTGTTCTTGAAGCCTCTTTCAGTTGAATGGGGGTCTCAGTCAAGTCCCTGTCCCCCAGGGCCGTGCGAAACTTTCAAATGCTTACTCACAGGGTGCATAGGGCTCTAGGCCTTCGGAGCCTACCTTTGTGACTACTCACTTAACTCAGCCATTGTTATTTTAATACTTGGACCAGTCTCTAAAGCCTTTCAGCCAGAGGCTACCACCTGGAGACTAAGGCACAAACACCTCTGTTCTTTCATTTCCTTTAACCCTATCTTAGGTTTTTGTTAATTTAATTTTCCCTAGAACTTATTTCAAAGTCAAGGCTGGGATTGGGAAGAGGCAAGAGTCCTATACTAGCCTTTAACTTGGTTTCCTCCAGTCTGAGATTCCTCTATATTCCTTCCACAGGCCAGATAATGTCATATCCTCTCCGTGGGGGAGAACATGCTCTTACTTCTCTGTGCATTCCCCTCATGGTTTGACTTATGATATAAAATCTATAATCTGAGTCTTCCAGCACTTAACAGTTAAAATGAAAAGCATGCTTTTGGAATGCAAAAATATATTCCCCCGCTTCAAGCCTTTGGCTGCCTCATCTTTCACTCACTCACTGTGTTGACTTGGACTAGTTACTTAGAGTCACGACCTGCTGGAAACAGGGACAACACAAATGCCTAACCTACTGAATTATTTTGAGAATTAAACAAAGGTAACACATAAAGATCCAGGTAGAGTTCCTGACTGTAGTAGGCTTTCAATAAAGATTAGTCATTGACTCTAATGCAATTAATATTCCTGAGGCGTATCCACAGTAGGACTAGTTTGGAAACTATTTTAAAATTAAAATTGCACTTGAAAAGAATGTAATACATTCTTGGTATTTGAAGTGATAAATTTTTAATTTTTGAAAAGTGAGTGTGGCATGATGTGATTTGTAATTTTGCATAGTCATGAATTGGAATGTACCAGTGATGTTGACTATGCAGGGCAGAGTCACTTAGATAGTTAATTGAACCTCCCCTGAGGGATGCTTAATAGCATCCTAATATAATCTTCTGTTTTTAAATGTATTATCGAATTTCGTATTTTGGGGACTCACTGGGGCTCCCAGAGTATATACTTCATGCTACAGTTCTAGTGTAGTTACTACTACTCTGAAATAGGTAGACAATTTTCTCCTCTTTGACTCAGTTTAGCAAGATCATAATAGAAATGAAGGGAAATACTTGCTTTATTACAGAGTTAATTGGTAATATAAAATGCATTAAGATCCTTGAATATAATGTTTAAAAATAATTAAAAAGAAATTACTGTCGTATTAATATATTTCTATAACAATGTTCCTTGATTATCTTCAACTTCGTTATTGCACTTAACGGTGTCTTAAATATACATTCATGATATAAGGCATGATTATATTCTCTCAAAGTTTGTTTCCATTATCTTCTTATCCACTGCATTTTTTCTAATTAAACTTTTTATTGCATTTTCATTACCCAGACATAAAAATAATTTCAGATTATTATACCAAACATTCAATTACAATATAAGAATTCTTGAATTATGATATATTTAAAACACCTTTGCAGCTGTCTTTCCAACCTATAATTACTTAATCCCGTCTATAACTACAGGGCTGATTTTAACACATAAACCACAAATGATAATTGCTTTATTCTCCCAAATTTAATTTTCCTCCATATTCCATGCAATTAAATCAAAAGGAAGAGATGCTACTTATACTTTCAATTTTAGTTACCAAATTGGAACTTTCCATATTACATATTAGTGGGCCATCAATGCAGCTGGTCACTAAAAAAAGAGATTGGTCAATATTTTAACAGAACAAAAGTTGCATGATTTAATTACTATAGTAATAAAATTTGAATATGCGAAGTAACTAGTTTTTGTGGGAGCTGCCATTCTTGGAAACTAATAATTTGGGACTGTGGAAAGTTTCCCAGCCTGCTGTGTTTAGGAGGTCTGGACTTTCAACCATCTTAGTTGAGCCGCATTTTTTTAAAAAATTGAAAATTTATCATAGTACAGAAAAGCAGCTCATATATACGTAGAACTTAAAGAAGATTGTAAAACAAACCTCCATGTGCACATTCCAGATTAAGAATTAGAATATTACAAGTACTTTAGAAATCTCTTTGCTTTTCCACAATCATGTGCTTCTTGCAATCTCAAGAAAACCATTTCCTTGCACGATATGCTGCCCATCCCCTCCTTTTTCTTTAAAAATTTATCATCTGTGTTTATAGGCCTGAATGATATGTGCTTCACTTTTTAAAAAAACGAGTAGCCAGCACACCCTAGCTATATAAAGGAAAGGCAATACTTACATTGTTAGATGAAGGCTTCCAGAAAAACAGTTTCTAATAATTTGGTTTAGGTCTCTTTAAAGATACAAGAGCCCCTGTGTAATGAGCAAGGTTATGTGTGAATCTTGCATTGAGGCATGGGCAGAGTTTACCAGGGTTATGGCTTTTAGTGCTGGACCAAGTACTGGTATTCTATTAATATATGGTGTCTACTTTTGCCCACTGAGCTTATTCTGTACTTTATACCTCTACCTCTCAGACGTAGGTTATAGCAAAACACTTCTGGAATGGTATGAAGGAGAATGTGTGTTATCAGCTAATCCAGGTAGGAAGGCATAGAGACAAGAACAATAAATTCATCAGTACAGGATTAACACAGATTCAGAAGAGATACGGAGCTGGACCAGTCTCAGCTAGACATTTCACTATCAGATTCTGATGGCAGTATCATACCAATGAAACTCTTAGTAATGGCAGCCCTCAATATGTCTGTTTCTAGAGTCACACTGCTACAACCTCTCCAATTTTGGATCTTCCTTTTATCTTCCTCCAAGTCTGTTCTGTCTCTTGTATCTGTATTTCATATCTATTTTAAATTTATTTTTTGTTTTGGACGAGTATATTCTGTTGCTAGTGGAAGAACTGTTAGAAAGACAGTCAATATTAGAGAACACTGTATTCTACTCTGATACTCAAGTGACAGTTTGGCTGGGAGTAAAAATCTGAATTGGAAATAATTTTCCTTTGCAATTATGAAGGCATAGTTCCACTGATTGTTGTTTATAGTACTTCTGTTAAGATGTCTGAAGCCATGCTGATTTATGTTTTATTCTTTTTGGGAGCTTTCAGAATATTCTCTTTGTCTGCTGTGTTCTGAAATTTTATTCCTTGGTGTTGGTCTAATTTCATTTATTTTCCTGGGCACTCAGCTCTTTCAGTCTGTCAACTTATTTTTAGAAATTTTCTCTAATTATTTCAATGACTTTTAATTTCTCTTTATTCTCGTATTCTCTATTTTTTCTTTCAGGAACTGTATAATTTTGGATATTGAACTGTTCTACTTTTTTTTTTTTAATTTTTATTCCCCCTATCTTTGCCTTGTTCTTCTAAGTCTGAAAATTTTTTCTTTTTTTCTTTTCAATGTTGTTGTCTAGACTTCTATGTAGTTTTAAGACTGCTAATATGTATTTAATTTCCAGGTTTTTTTAGTTTTCTATTTCTTTTCACATAACGTTTCTTCTTGCTTCAGTCATATAATATCCTGTGTTTCTGAATATTAATCTTCATTTGTTTTGAACATTTTTTTTTCTTAGCAGATGAAGAGGCTGATTGATTTGGAGTTTTCCTGGACAGTGATATACATGAGCTTTTTTTAAAAAAGAAACATGATGTTATTAGGTGTAGCTTTTTTCTTTTGAAGTAATAAAATACCTCAGAAATGTATCATCTAGTGTTCTTCTAGAAGGGTCTAGGACTGGCTGGCACAGCCATAGAAGTCAACTAGAGGAAGAAGGTTGAGAGTGTCTGCAATCAGCATTCAGTGTTCATAAGGTCATCTAAGCCCATTTCCAGGATCACATCCAAGCTCTGAACTGTGCATGCTGTCATGCATTCCAGAGACAGTCCTACCTGAGTGAAGAAGGAAAGGGTATGGAGTGGAGGTAAGGAATGCAGTAGGAGTGATGTTCTAGGAATCTGCCTCTTCACTTTCAAACAGTCATCATTTTAGTTCCTCTATTTCCAGAGGGCCCTGTGGTGAAAATTAGGTTGGTTCTCAGTTTACCCCCACTACTGGCGTAGGAATTACAATGTTTTCTTTAGTGTTATGCAAGTCAGTTGTAACTGTACCTACTTTACAACTTCCAAAATTAACAAATTTATTTTTTTCTTAAAATCATATTTGAAAGTAGTTTTAAAGGGTTTACAAAAAGTAAAGGCAAATCAGATGGTTGTACCATCTACAAAATTAATCTCTTTGAAACATTTAATAAAATAACATTTTTATTTTCATCTGGTGGACTTTTCTTGAATATAAATTATAAGAAAACAAACAATCCAATTAAAAATAGGAGAAAGACTTGAATAAACATTTCTCCAAAGAAGACGTACAAATAACTAAGAACATGAAAAAATGCTCAACATCATTAGTTACTAGGAAAGTGCAAATTAAAACCACAAAGAGATCCACTTTACTCTCACTATTTTTATAATAGAATGGGTATCATTAAAAAAACAGAAAATAAGAAGTGTTGGTGAGGATGTGGAGAAATTGGAACTCTCATGTATTACCAAAGGGAATGTAAGATGGTTCAGCTGCTACAGAAAACAGTTTGGTAGTTTCTCAGAAAATCAAACATAGAGTTATCTCAATACTCAAGAGAATTGAAAACAAATACTCAAACATGTATGTGCATACACATGTGCATAGCAGCACGGTTGACAATAACCAAGACATAGAAGTGACTAAATATCCATCAATGTATAAATGGGCAAAGATGTGATATGTATATGTGTATGTGTGTATGGAATATTGTTCAGTCATAAAAAGGAGTGAAGTACTGATATTTACTACAATGTAGTGTTATGTTAACTGAGAGAAGACAGATCATCTTCTGTCGTATATTCTATAATATTCTAGAATTAGGATTCTAGAATATATGACAAAAGGTCATATATTCTAAAATTCCATTTATATGAAGCATCTAGAATAGATGACTCTATAGGGAAGGGACACAAATTAATGGTTTCCAGGGGCTGCAGGGCACAGAGATAAATTGCTCAATAGGTGAGACAATTTACTTTGGACTGATAGAAATGCTCTGGAACTCGAGGTAGTTGCACAACATTGTAAATGTATAAAATGCCACTGAATTTTTTATTTAAGATGGTTAATTTTGTGTTTTGTGAATTTGGCCTCAAGAAATTATTAAAAATAATGCATTATATTTTTGATAGTTAGAGATGGGAACTACCCCCTGAACCTATTACTTTTCTGATTACAGTTCACAGATACTGTGCCCTTTCCTTGATATCCTTGCAGTCCGTGTAGTTCCTGAGACAATTCTAATGGAAATAGATGGGCTTTCGACAACCTTGAGACTTAGATGATTTTTACAAAGAAATTGAATCCTATAGTTGAGTTTCGTGGATATTTAGGTTGAGTCCTTGGCAGAAAAGTGCTTCTAGGTTGAATATCTTTTATTCTGTTGGCTTGGTCCAGTTTTTGGAACACTGTCTTGGTTTTCTGCTTAGTACTTCAATTAGTACTGAAATCAGAGCCTGCATGATATGCAAATCAATTAAGTGGGAACTGAATACCCTTGCTAACTCTTTGGTGCCTAACTTATGTGATGATGGGGGAGCTTGATCTGTTGTCCATGTGCCCAGAACTGGTGTGGTGCAGCTGTGAAGGTACTGATGACCTGGACAGAGAATGCTGCTGCCAAATGAGGATATTGACTCTGGATAAGACATTGCTATACTTAGATTGTGCCCAATGCCTTTAGAACGTGCATTTTGACAGTTTTTCTCTCCAAGACATGCATGTGCTAGTCCAAGGGCCACCTTGGCTGAGCTTCCACCTTTTCCCCACCATACTATACTGCTGAGGTTTCAGTATGCCTCAAAGCTGTGCCTTCCTTTGGAAGGCTGAGGCAGGTGGATCATCTGAGGTCAGGAGTTCGAGACCAGCCTGGCTAACATGGTGAAACCCCGTTTCTACTAAAAATACAAAAAATTAGCCAGGCGTGGTAGTGGGTGCCTGTAGTCTCAGCTACTCGGGAGGCTGAGGCAGGTGAATCGCTTGAACCCAGGAGGTGGAGATTTCAGTGAGCAAAGATTGCGTCATTGCACTCCGGCTTGGGCAACAAGAATGAAATTCCATAAAACAAAACAAAACAAAACAAAACCTGTGCCTTCTGGAATTATGCACTTGAGTAAAACTGAACAAGAGAATGAAAATGCCAATAGTATTGGTGATGGTTTTAGTAACTATACAAGTAAATTTTTTTCTTATTTTTGTTTACACTTTTTATTCACAAATATTTACCTTCTTCTTGACATATAATTATTTTATGACAAGTAAATGTCCAGAAAATAACATTGTAATGATGTAAACTCTGAACATAAATATTTAAATAACTATTTTTTATAATTTTATTTATTCATGCACTTATTCATTCTGCCTTATCTTTAAAATGATTTGCAATTGTGAACCAAAGTGTTACAATAAGTATGACCTTTAGAGGTTTAATTTGCAATGTATAGCACTGCAGAATTAGAAAGCAGCTTCAATTCTACCTACTTCATCCACCACCTACATTGAGGATTCTGTTTAGAAGAGCCCAGCAATTCTGATGTTCAAGTGCTTCTAGTAACGAATAAACTAACTTCTGCAGATGACAGCCCACTAATTTTTCAAACAGTACTACTTGCTGGGAAGTTCTACCTATTAATAAACTAGTGTTGACTATATTTTGCTCTAGTATTATTTTCTGGAACCACTCTGATTAATTCATTATAAACATGACAACTGTTCAGATTTTGGAAACATCTATCACATATTTTCCAAATTTTCTTTCATTCAGGTTGAACCTATCCTCTTAGTAATTCTATAATAAAATTTCCTAAAATACTAAATATTTGTGAAAATTGCTGTTGAAGACGCTTTCTATTCAGTTTCCACTCAGCATTTTTTCTAGCCCTATCAAGTTTGCAGCAAACAGAATGATAAGAGCACATTTCATATATTCCATTGAGAAAAATAACCAAAAAGATGGAGAGTCAGGGGCACATGCAAAGCTCTGAGATCTTACTGTTTGCCACTGATTTTTGACTTACCATGTTGGGTACAGTTAGTCAATAATCAGCGAACTATCTTAATTTTATTTTCATCTTTGTAATAGATTTAAAACCTTATTCTGCTGCTTTTTTTAAAAAAATTTTTTAAGAACCTCTCCTTGAGTAAAATCTAACACAGAACTCTACCAAAAAGACTAAGCATAGAATTGCTCTTGGAGAAGCAGAGGCAGGACCATGGTTCTTTTCTCTGGAATTGTTCTCTACCTCCCGAAATGGTAAAGGAAATCACAAACCTTTAAAACTCCAAATAAGGCTGCTTCAAGAAGATATAGCCTATTTTCTCCCTCTAATAAAAAATGAGAGGGTATATAAATGCATAGGACTTTAGAACAACCTCCTAATTTTACATATGAAAAAGCTGACATGTGGATAGGCAAATTATTTCTCTGAGATATTATGTTTTCATAATAAATTACAAAGAGTAACCATCAATAAGAAACCCACAAGCAAACAAAATGACGGAGCTGGCACGATTTCCAAAAGCATAGAAGAAAAATAAAATGAAAAAATTTGAAGACAAAAGGAAAATAATCACACTTATAGAAACAACAAATTATGGTAGAATTAATAAAATATATTAATAATATACATTTGATGGTAAATCAACTAAACTCTCCAGTGGAGAGACAAAGATTAAAAGCATATAGGAACATGGAACAAATACAAGTAAATAATTCATAAGATACAACTAAAAGAAAAATGAGGCACTTGGAACAATAATAGTTTTTTCATGAAAAGCATATCTTGGGTAAAATGAAGTAATTATTAAATCAAAAAAAGAATACCTTTCCAGTAACAAAATAATTGAGAATTTGTATGGTTCTAACAAATGTCTAACAACATAGTATTGATGTACATGAAATGAAAATGGAGAGAATTAAAAGGATAATCTGAAAACCAGAGTCACAGTAAAATATTCTCATAGATCTTTCTCATAAACTGATAGATCAAGCAGAGCAAAAATAAGCTACGAATTTATAGAAAAAGGCAAACAAATGTATCATCTAACACATATGTAGACAATATTTTTTTTTTCAGGAAAATAAAAACCATTTCAAAAGCCGAAGCATTTGCTACAACACAAAGAAAGGAATTTTTTTATATTACCAATAATTTATCATATTATACTGTCTCTACCAGTAGAACTGTGCAACTAGGAATCAATAACAAGAGTATGGCATATTTTCCTAAAAAACAACAAACGTTTTTGTAAACAAAGTCCAATATACTTATAAATTATTTATGTCATTAGAGAAATCCTAACATTTACAAAATGTTGAAATGGAATGACAATAAAAACACTACAGGCCAAAGCTTGTAAGATGAAACTATATTATTCTTAGAGTGTGATGTGTAACTTTAATTGCACTTAATAGGAAACAGTAAGAAAAAAAAATCAATGAGCTAAGTATTCAACTCTGAAAGATTTGAAAAAAATCCCCAGTGACCCAAATTGAGTAGAAATAAAGAGTAGAAATAAATTAAATAAAACACAATGAAAAAAATCATAAAAATAAAAATAAAGCAGTGCCTTTAAAAATATTAATAAATATAAAAGAAAGCACTTCCTTAAGCATAAAGAGAATAACCATAAATAAAGTTTGAATACTGAAAAAAGAAGACGTAATCACAGATACAACAAACACTGGAACAAGGAGAATGTTAGAAAAAAATTATGTTATATTTAAAGCTAGTTTCTTGAAAAGTAAGAATTTATCAGGAAGAAAGATAAAGGTCTGAATAGCTGCTAAAGAATTTGAATCACTGGTCAAAAATCTATCTACATCCAAGCACTAATTTCAAAGTTGCTCCAAGCTAGTTCTAGCAATCTTCAATATGTATTTAACTCTTATGTTATAGAACTTCTTTCACATATGTATAAGGGAGGAAATATTACTCGAAGGGAAATACGATAGAACAAAACTATTACACATTAAATGTGGATATACATTACAAACAAAAGTTAGAAAACAGAATCTAACAATTTATGAAAAAAAATGCACTACAACCAAAAAGGATTTAACCCAGGAATGGAAGTAATCTCCAATATTGGAAAGCTTACAGGAACTTAATATTAACAGATGACAGTAGAAACACAATATGATATTATCCATATTGTAGAAAAGCATTACACTTCAATGTACCTTCTTGATTTGAAAGGAAAAAAGCAAAGCAACCTAGAAATAAATGAGAATATCTTTAACCTAATAAAGCACACATTCTGGAAACCTATAACAAACTACTGACTAGTGAAATATTTGAAATATTTCCTTTAAATTTGGGGATCAAACTAAGAAGCCCATTCTCACCATTTTCTCCTTTTATTCTTAAGACTTTGCATGTTTCTTTTTTTTATCAGTTTGAGCTTGCTTGATGGATGTTATCCCTTCCTCTGTATCTCTGAAGATTAAAAAAAAACACTTATTTTAAAGCTCTTTTAAGATGTGGATATTATCTCTAGTTCCTTACATTTGAGTTCCTTTTTTCCTTGGATCTGCCCACTTATATTCTTGATGCTAGAATTTGCCATGTGTTTACTAATGATTCTTTGTGAGCTCACTTTCCATGGGAATTACTTACCATTGGACACAGTTTGTATAACCTTGCTTTGGGATTAGTTTCATGGCTGTCTCTGTCTAGTCCATGCAAAATTCACGGGTCTCAAATTAGATTTTAATGTTGCTTTAACAAGTCATTATATTACAACAAAATGAATCTGATAGATTGAATAAAATGAATCTGAGCCCTATTTACTGTAAAGATGCAGATTTCTGGTTTTGAAGTGGTTATGGGCACCATTCTATTCATGGCCAGTGGCAAGACCTTTGATCTAGGAAGCTCAATTGGAAATATTCTGGAATTTCTGTTTGTAAAAAACAAACAAGCAAAAAACAACAGCAAAAAAAAATACCCAAAACAGAAAACAAAAAACAGTGGGTTGCTAGATTCGGGACTTACAGAGTTTAATTCCTGTTCTTTCTCCCACGTTGAACCTATGGCTTTTGTTCAAAAACCTTCAGCCCTAGGGTCTTAGCCCCACTGTGGGTCACAAAAGTTGAGCTGTTCCTATTTATGGACTTGACTTTTTTTTTTTCTAAATTTCTGACTTCTGGAAATTTCTTTTCTTGCTTTCAAATGAAACTGTTTGTTTTAAAGATGTATGTATCCATATATTGATTTGTTCATATTAATATAAATTTATAAATCTTTATTGTATATTTCCAAGTGTTTGGAATGGGGGAAGGGTTTCCATAGGTGCTTGGCTTTCCACTTTGTCTAGGAACTGATGACATGACTTTTTCATGTTACACATCTTGTTTGAGGAAGAACTCAAATTAGAATCCTGTTCCCTTAACTCAAATTTTATTATAATCAGTTGCCTTGTGGCTTGGAAAGACATTGACTACAATTTTGCAAAACTGTTCAAGAAGGTTATGGCTGTCCTATGTGACTACATGGATGAACTTGAAGGACATTATGTTCCATAAAATCAGCCAGGCATAGAAAGACAAATACTGTGGCATCTCACTTATATGTGAAGTCTAAAAAAGTTGAACTCATAAAAGCAGAAAGTAGAATGGTAGTTACTAGGGGCTGGGGGAGGGGAGATGGGGAAATAGTGGTCAAAGTGTATAAAGTTTCAGTTAGAGAGGAAAAATAAGTTCTAGAGATCTATTGTAGAGAATGGTGACTACAGGTAATAATCATATACTATAGTCTTGAAATTTGTTAAGAGATTAGATTTTAAATGTTCTCAGCATAAAAAATGATATGTATGTGAGGTGATAGATGTGTTAATTAGCTTCAGTTAATTTCACAATGTATACATATATCAAAACATTACATTGTGCATCATAACAGTATATAATTTTATGACAGCCATGCCTTAATAAAGCTGGGGAAAATGTATATGCCGTTTTTTTTTCAATTTTAAACCACAAAATATGTTGGAATTTTTTTTTTGATAAACCATGCTAGTAATGTCATCTAAGAATGAGATTTGTGTAATTCGCTAGTGAATTTATACATGTTCTTAATGGTCGCAGTTTGGGACTGAGCTGTAGGTTTTTAGTTATCCCTTGAGAACTTTTAGATGAGTTGGATTATGTCTACATCAGCAAGGCAGAGTTATCTAATAAATTTAGTACAAATTGTGGTTGTTGAATTGTCTAAATTGACTTTCTAGACTGTCCAGATGATCGCTCAAGCCTCTGAATTATTGACAGTTTAGATGTGAGTTTATGATAATAGCATATTTTATTGCCTATTTCTGAAAGATTAAAGTTCTGACTTTACTACATAGATATGTATCAGAAAATATCTTACTCAATGACCTTAGAGGCTAGTTTTGACCAACCTGAATTGATCACAAGTTTCAAGGAATAAAGAAATGGTTAGGAAAAGGGAATATATTTTATTGTCTCCTGAAATAGTGCAGAAATATTTATGAACACAGTTTGCTCATGGATGATTTCCAAAACATCCATAAATTGCAAATCAACCTGTTTTGTGCCATGAACTATTGAGAAACTTCTAATAAGTGCACTACATTGTCAACTAAAAATATACTTTCTTACGTAGAGTGTGTTGTCCTCAGCCAATAGTCATTGTTTCTAGGTCCAATAATGCTTTCTTCACACCAGATTTCAAAAATCTGGGAGAAACAGGGTACTCAAAACAGTGGAAATGATAAGTGTTTTATTCATATTTCTAATATTTTGATATACATAACAGCCTTTGGACTTGTGTAGATATGGCCAATGTAATTTTAACAAGGGCAGAAATACACAAGCCCTTTCCTTCTCTTCCATCGTTATATAAAATAAACCCATCCTTGTGCTTTAGGCTTCGGGATAACCAATTAGCATTATTAACCATGTCAGTCATTTTCTGCCAAAATTTAATACTAAAAGCTGCTGCAAAAGTACTCCTAAGCCATCTTCCTTAACATACTGCTAAAGGATAACTCTTAAATGCTCTGAGGTTTTGATTTCAAAACGAAATTCCAAAACAAAATCTGTTTTGATCTGCAGTTAAGCAATGGATGAGCCAGCCCCCACCTACAGTTCATCACCTGCAGTTGAAAGCCAGCCCTCCAGAGTACTTTACACAGAGGCTCCAGGAGAAAACCTGCCTCTTCCTGCAGGTAGACCAGCCTGCAGAATGTCGGGAGAGAGGAGAAGGCAATCGCCCTCCCAGCCCTCCTCCAGAAGCCAGAACCACCCAGAGAGTGGCAATACACCTCTGACTAGGAGCTTTATTTTCAATCCTAAGATTTCCAAAAGATGTTTCACTGAAAATATTTCATAGCATGTAGTTGAATGTAAGAATTATTAAGACAGTTTCTTCTTAGACCGATTATTATTTTTTTTTTTTGAGAAGGAATCTCTCTATTGCCCAGGGTGGAGTACGCTGGCTTGATCTCAGCTCACTGCAACCTCCTGCAACCTCCGCCTCCTGGGTTCAAGCGATTCTCTTGCCTCAGCTTCCTGAATAGCTAGGATTACAGGCGCACACCACCACACCCAGCTAATTTGTGTATTTTTAACTTGTGTATTTTTTTTTTTTTTTTTTTTTAGTAGAGATGGGGTTTCATCATGTTGGCCAGGCTGGTCTCAAACTGCTGAGCTCAGCATCCCAAAGTGCTCGGATTATAGGTGTGAGCCACCCAGGCCTTAGACCGACTTTTAATATTCAGGATTGGTTGAACGCAGGGTGAAGGAAAGGATATAAATTAACATGCATTTCTTTTATTCCCAAGCACCATAAGAAATTGATTTTGCTAATTTCAACTATGATTGAATAATGATTCAACTCGTTTTCTAAGAAGCTAAAATAGGTAGTCTTCCCAGAAGATTTTTCTGTATTCATTTTATTTTGAGAAGTTCATATTTCTATTTTGGTTAATTTCTTATGGAATATCCAAAAATTATACATTAGAATTTCTTGCACAATTCAAAAGGATTTCTGTCTATTTACCACACAGCTCCACCAGAGGCTAATTTGTTTCCCTTAAGTCTTATGGTTTTCAGTAGAATCAGGGCACTTCGTATTATTTCCTACTTTGAACTTGTTAGCCATTTCATTGGCTTGCTTGCTATCCACTCTATTCTCTTATTTGGAGAGACCAGCACCAAACTGGTTTGGTTTGGGAATATTATCATTTGTTAATAATGTGCTTAAGATTTTCTCACATGATTTAAGAAGGTAATTATATCATCTTAGGGTAATAAAGATGTACAATACACATTAAGTCAAGTTTTATTCAAGCCTTTAGCAGCCTTGAATTCCTTCCAGGTCTTTTTAGGGGAAATTTTCACCCGCAGGGGCTTGGGAATTTGGCATGGAACACCCATTAAGTGTGAGAAGGGCTTGACTGCCAGTACACAGCAATGAGATCTTGCCCTTCAAAAATTCTCTTTGATTTTACTTCAATAGACCGAAAAAGAAAATTTGTGCTTTGTGTTTTTGTCTTTAAATTATGATAGGACAAGACATAGACCATCCATGTCCCATAAATACTTGATAATATTTTGTCTGTATACCACAATGCTGGGATCATTTACAACTTGTGTTGCAATATAGCAAAACCCATTGGTGTGTAAAGACATATTACTAATTAAACACAAATGTAACAGATGTTTCATTTTAGCAACTTATTGTGGGTCCTCCTGGGTCCTCAGTGCCTCTTGTCTCCTCTGCAGGTAGTGTTAATTTCCCTTCTCAGGGGCTCATGGAGATGCAGCCAATAGGGTGAAGGAGCACATTGAGGACGCTCCTGGTTTTCTACTATACGTGCAAAAGTTCATTGTAAGCAGGAATGTTATTCTGTCAGCTTCAGTCTTAGCATTTTCACAACAAATTCTTGTCTTCTGAAATCATATTTCTAATATGGAATATTCACATCAAATTTGTAAAAATAATGTTAAAATGGCTGTTGGAAATGTTAACAATAGTAATAAAATCTGGAAGGCACTTTAGCCAAAGGAGGTCAGGGGAGAGGTACTCTTCTGCTGAGTCCAGAAACACCCTACATCCCTACCTAAGAATTTGTTCCTAGTGTTTTAATTTATCTGCTTGAGGCCGGGCGCGGTGGCTTGCACCTGTAATCGCAGCACTTTGGGAGGCTGAAGCAGGCGAATCACCTTAGGTCAGGAGTTCAAGACCAGCCTGGCCAACATGGTGAAAGCTCGTCTCTACTAAAAATGCAAAAATCAGCCAGGCGTTGTGGCAAGTGCCTGTAATGCCAGCAGCTTGGGAGACTGAGGCAGGAGAATCACTAGAATCTGGGAAGTGGAGGTTGCAGTGAGCTGAGATCGTGCCATTGCACTCCAGCCTGGGTGACAAGAGGAAAACTGCATCTCAAAGATAAATAAATAAATAAATAATAATTTATCTGCTTGAAATATTAAATAAAGCTAAATAATTCCAGGGTTGGAGAATGATATTACATACAACTGAAGCAGTGGGACTTGGAGTATGAACAATATATTTTTAAAAAATTACAAAGCATAATAGTCATGATTCAAGAGTTTGCCAAAATTTGTACATATATCTGGAAATATAAGGACTAGAAGGTAAAAGCCTCAAAAAGAAAAAAAGTAGATGAGCTAGTCAAACAGAGTCTTCTCCCTTCCCTCCCTTGATAGCCTTTTCTTTCTTTCCCTTTTTTTTTTTTTTTTTTTTCTTAGAGGGAGTCTTACTCTGTCACCCAGACTAGAGTACAGAGGCGCTGTCTTGGCTCACTGCAACCTCTCCTTACCAGCTTCAAGTGGCCCTCTCATCTCAGCCTCCCAAGTAGCTGGGATTACAGACACGTGCCATTATGACCGGCTAATTTTTGTATTTTTTGTAGAGATGGGGTTTCATCATGTTGACCAGGCTGGTCTGAGCCACACTATGCCCGGCCTTGATAGCCTTTTCTATCAAGCTTCTGGGGTTTGCCTTTTTTCTTATAAAAAAAAAAACTTCCAGTTGAGGGCTCCAAAAAGTGAATTCGAATAGTAATATTTAAAATTTATATCTATATGAGGAAATATAAAGGCTGTTGAAAGATTCTGTATTGCAAATATTTCTGCTATATTGTTGGTGCTTGAAATTATACCATAAAATATACCTCTTTTGACTAAAAGGACTTGTTTTAAGACCAAATGTAAATATGCCTGCTATAGAAAAAATATCTTCTATGCAATGGCAATTTTTACTGTAAAGAAATGTATCCATCCCTCCTTCTGTATCTTGACAATGTGATAAATATATACATATGCTTTTAAAGTAACTGTGTATGTGTTTATGTATATATGTGTCTATACGGGTATATACATCTAATGTGTACATATGTGTATATACATCTAGTATGTATACATATATACACAATATACACATGAATACATATATACACGTATATACACATACATATATACACGTATATACACATACATATATACACGTATATACAGATATGTATATACGTGTATATGTGTGTTAATTTGTTCTGTTTTGTTTTCTTCCAGCTTTGGAGAATGAAGTTCAATATATGAATTATCCATAGAGACCAGTAGGCCTATTGCAAATCCCTGCGGTGGAGTGCTAGGAGCCAGAGGTGCTGAATTCTCCTGCAGTTCTATAAATGAACTAAGCCACACTTACTGACTCTGTTACTGAAAACCAGTTGCCTAAACATTTTGTGTCTGTTTCATTATTTGTAAAGTGAGAAATGTACTTACTGAACAGGGTCATCACAGGAGACAAAGATGATTGTGAAAGAGCCTTGTAAAGGGTACATCTGAACCCCAAATTATCAATAAGTGCTCATTGGCTGTGCCTCACAAGAGCTCAGAGATCACTGAGTCTAGTTCAATGCACTTAAATTACGACATGGAAATGGAGGCACCAAGAGGTGAGTATCCTATCCAGAGTCACACAGCTCTACAGAGATATGGAAGCAATATCATAAAATTCAATCATGTCATATTTCATTTCCATGAAAATAAACTAAAAAAAAACTTGGAAGATGAGAACTTTGGATAATTTGAGTCTGAAGTACTTCATACTACTTTAAGTTACCTCCTATTGGGGGCATTATAAATGGGTAAGCAGAGAACATCATGGAAAGACATGGAGCTTAGTATATGCAAATGTTGAGTTACTCAGTGTAATGTGTGAAAAAGGAGTTTCATAAGTTTCGGTCAGGGAAGAAGGCAGGGTCAAAATTTCTGCTTGAGAGTTTGGGAGCTTGGGGAGACTTTAAACAGGGAGCAACACAGCACATTAGATTCCTTTGGTTACACTAAGGACAATGGTTTTGAAGGGGACCAGGATGAAGAAAAGGAAGGTAGAACGACCATTCCTCAATGATGAGGAATCCATTGCTGTAATCTATGCGAGAGGTTATACAGACCTGCGTGGCATCATTCATTGTCTGAATGGAGAAGATGAGATGAACTATTTAGAAAGTAAACATTTAGAAAGTAAACATTAGCATTTATGGGACTAATTTGATGTAGGTGATAAGGGTATAGGACACCAGGAAGATTTTCAGATTTCTAGATGGGAGGGGGATTTATAGAAGTGCGTTAAAGTGGAATATGGGAGGAAAAAGAGACTTAGAAAAACAGGTGTGAAGTTTTGAAATGAAGTTTGTGATATTCTAGTACAATACCCAAGTGAAGCTGCTTGCCACTTGGAAGTTGCATATGAGTCTGGAACAGGGCAAGAAGTCTCAAATGGAAAGAAAAATCTGGAAATCACTAATATATCCATGGGTTGTTGAAACCAGGAGAGAGGGTGGGAATGCCCTTTGAGAATACAGGATGATGGACTCTGAAAGCACTGGTACTTGTTAGACTCTTGTTCTTCTTCAAGTAAGTGTGGGAGACACTGCAAGGAGAGGTTAGTGGGACAAACTGGTGCAGCCTTTTAAGGGGATTTGTTATACTCACAAAAGAAGCCCAGTGTGAGGGATACTTTTTTTTTTTTAAAAAAATGAAGGGTTGGGAACCTGATCCCAGGTTTAATAAATCTGGGAAAGTGGCCAAGGTCCCTGAATTTTAAAGACTTTAAAGAGTCTCCGAGAATGTGTCCCAGGTCACTGAATTTTAAAGAAGCCCTCCAGGTGAGAACCAATGCTCTGAGAGTTGCAAACCAGGGTTTTGTTTGTCAGTGCAACATTTTAGCTGGCTCTAGGTACAGAGCCTTCAGATGTGGGTATAAGGGGAGATTTTCAAAAAGTTCCACATACTGAGTGATCTTTTTCTAAAACTGAGAGGCCTCCCAGACTCATCACAAGCCAGAAAAGTAGCCGTTGCTATTTGTTTTCCATCAAATGCTGAGAGCTGCCACTCTCATTCTTAGCTCATTTGAAGCAACAGGGATTTCCTCTTGAGAGCAGGAGACAGAATTCATTACGACAAAGCATGGTTTTAGAGTAAAGTGTGAAGTGTGTAGCCATGTCTATAAAAGGGATAAAGAGCCAGGACACCATGATTTTGCTGTGGGGTTAGCATTGCTTACTCGCTTAGTGATCTGGGCCAATCACTGAATCTCTCTGAGCCTTAATTTCCTCATCTGTAGAAGGGGAAAATAGTACTTATCTCATTATTTTGTGGTGTAGACTAAATGAGATCAGATATCGGAGGTGCTTATCCTCTGGAAAGCACCTAATAATAAGATTAGCTACAATTAATACGTGTGTTAAGAAATGTGGGACCCACAGGCTCTGAATCTCCCGGTGAGTAGTTGGAGGAGATGGCCAAAGGCTCTGAAATCCTTTCAGGTCCACGGATTCCTAGGGGAGGGTATGATCTGGGCAAAGATGATTACATTATTTTCTTTCTTACACTTATTTTCCTAGAAGATATTTCTCTAGGAAGATGAGAGCCTTTGTAATTTTCAACCCTTAGAAATCAATTATTCCTGAGTTATTTTTGCATTTATGAAAAGTGCCAAATTAATTTCGACTGAATTTTCTTTTCTGTGATCAATGAGGAGGTCAGCTGGTAGACATGACGAGATTCTAACAACACCGGGTATTGCCCCTCGGAGTTTTAATTGCCTTAATTCTCTGTAATTCATTTCTGAGAACTAGCATCTTTTCATACAGTCTTAAAAATCTCAGCTTCTTAATATATGCATGAATGGCAATACGCTAATATGCAATTCAAGTAGCAGGGTTTACATTTTATAATTCTGCATGGAAAAAAGGCTTGAAATCTGGAAGCCCTGGTCCCAAATGTTCTTCATTCCCACAACACACAAAGAGACAAAACCTCAGAACAGAGGTGGAATCATGATATCCTTCTCTCATTCATTATTTACAATATATCTGCCTCAGTACCTAGATTTCCTTGCACACCTTAGGAAGTCATGGGGAGATAGATTTGAACTAGAGTCTAGAGGTAAGTGATGCCATATTCCATTACCTGAGTCACTATCTCCCCAATACCTTCCCCTCCCTCTTTTTTCCCCCAAAAGAGCACATCTTTGGAAATTGAGAATATTCAGTGAACAGGACTCATAAATCAAATCATTATCATTAATAATCAAAGTGAGACATTGTGAGAAATAGCAAATTAATCACAACTGGCAGGTGAAGCTACTTCCAGCCTCTGCTTTCTGCATACTAAAGGGAGCAGAATTTTCCCCAGTGGGTTTTTATTTTTCTTAAGTTTATTTTCTTAGTGAACACTGCACTCTTTGGTTGACTGGGAATTATGTCCAAACCCAGGTTTCCCTACTACTAATATGACTAATTCTGTTTAATAAAATTTGATTTTCAGAACCATTTTTGTTCCATAAATAAGATATATTATGATTTGGTGTACTTTATTAGTATACCATTGCATATTTGAAATTGAAGACATTTTTCTAGAGGAGGAAAATAACTAATGGTATCACAAATTTGGATTAGATGTAATTATTTATTTTCCGTGTCTTGGGTCATACTTATGTGACAGCCTGTCATCTTAGTTTAAATGCCTTTTTGGTAAAAATGGGAGACAAGCCTAAATATAATATTTTCTACTGTTATGATAGTTTTCAAAGCATGATTAATAATAATTCATGAATTTTGAGAACGTCTTATTTCTCCAGAAAAGAAATAAATACTTCTTTTCCATCATGTTTACCTTCTCAGCCTCCCTGTGAAGTAAGAACTACTTTCTTAAATCGAGAGACAGTGAGTCAAAAACAGTTAAATTTTTACCATTTCACACAGCAATTCTGGGTTTAAATTTAAAATAGACTCGAATTTCCTGACCCAGCATTAGACAATGTTGTCAAAATTTTCACTTCTTAGTGACTTTTGAAATGACATGCAAATTTTTAAAAACAGAGGAAAATAAGTACTAATATCTGGATTGTATTTTTATTTCTATAATGTATTAAAATGTGCTAAGTGATTAAAAATACATGAGCTATTTCAGAAGGTACAGAAATGTTTCGAACTCCATATTTAAAGGAAAGGCAAACAAAATGTGGGGGATTAGAAGGAAACAAAAATAAAATGCAAAGTGTATTTAATATTGAGAAACAAAGTGTTTCAGTAAGGCCTATGTGCTTACGAGAGTCTGTGCTTTTGCTCAGCATAACTTCACTAAGAAATGGGAGAAGAGGGGACTGAGGCTGTCACTGTCCTTTACCCAGAATCATTTTTCCCTTCTCTGACTGTTACCAATTACCCAAAGCTCAATTCAATAATCCTCATCAGTACTCTAGGAGTTTAACTAGAAAGCAACATTAAGGTTTAAATATTGCAGTTTTGTGAATGTAGGATTGTGAAAATCTTTCTAGCAGATTCCCGGATTATTCAGGAGTGTCAGGGTCTATTTCTTTCATATTACTTATATATGGGTTTTTCTTTCCTTTGAAAGCATCTCTGTTTGGTAAAAAGCAAAATTAAAGTGACCGTATGTTGCATATTGTATTGAAGATGGACGAGGAAAGTGGTTTAAAAATAGATAAATGCATTTTCTTTCTTTTAACATTACACATACTGGTTACTCTTTCCTGTCTATTTTCTAGACATTTTTTCAGTTTATGTTTGCAAGATGATTTGTCATTCTCCTTGAATTTCTTTCTCTACTAATCTTCTGCAGGGACAGTTAGTCACCTGACGTGATGAGATGGTTCCTGGGTCTGATGAGTTTTTCGCTGGTGGACGTAGCCCTGCTCTTGAACACACGGATGTCCTTCAAGCCTGAAGGGATGAAATCCCATCTCCCTAATGAGGGAGACAATAGGTTTCTCAGAAAATGGGATAGTTTCTTTTCTTTTTTTTTCTTTTCTTTGTTTTCTTTCTTTCTTTTCTTTTCTTTTTTTTTTTTTTTTTTGAGATAGAGTCACTCTCTGTCACTCAGGCTGGAGTGCGTGGCACAATCTAGGCTCCCTGCAGCCTCGGCCTCCCAGGTTCCAGCGATTCTCCTGCCTCAGCCTCCTGAGTAGCTGGGATTACAGGCACGCACACCATAGTTTTCTATTTGAATGATTTGTTATGTTGGTTATCTGTGACAAAGTCATTTGCCCCTTTTGGGAGGGAATACATAACTATAATAATTCAATTCTGAACTTGAAGAAAACAGAAAGCAAAGTGGCATAAAATTGCCCTTTTTGTTGTAATTTTTTTTTAAATATTTGAGACAACGTATTTGAAGGCACGATGTTCCCCTTTCTTCTGAGTTGGGGATATTCCGTAAGTGAGTGATGAATAATACACTATGTTCCATAACGTCTCTGTGTTTAATTGTCCAGAGCACCATGTGTATACTCACTTGAACCTGGAGAATTGTTCATGTGATTGGAAACCCAAAGAAAACCACTTCCTGGCTGTTGATACAGGGGCCAAAAAGTTGTAATACCTAAAGATCACATAAGTAGGTTTCTTGATTGTTGTATATTTATTTTGTATCATTCCTGACTTGTAAATAAGGAAATAAGTCATTAAGAAATTACTAAATTAGGTTGCAAACCATGGGCAGGAAAGAAGTCAAACAGAATGCCTGACACAGTCAATCAGCTAAGTCTAATTTTCCTTCCCCATTTCTTTTTCTTTTTTTCCTCTCCTGTTGCTTTTCTTCTTCTTTCCCTTTCAGGCATCTCCTCCAGTTTTATTTTCTGTAACTCACAGAGTGCTGCAGAATAATGTTAGGGCTTTGCAGTTTATTCCTTGCGATTTAACTGCATAAATATAAAAAGTGCCTGAGCAATAATGCACGTTGGGTTATTCAATAACACAAGGAATGTAAAGCGATTTCATATCTCCTTGAATCAGGAACATTAATTAATCATATGATGAGAATGCAACGTTTTATTTACCAGGGCAAGAGGCTGCCAAGATCTTTCTGAGTTTAATAATTGCACACTCTGTGGAGGGAGGAAAAATTAATTTAGTTATTAAATTGGAGGGTGCTTTTTTTCTATCATGGTGATGCTGGAAAGTAGCCAGGCCATAATGTTAATGTTACGAGAGTTGAGATGTGGATGACTTTCACTAAAAGCTTTCTCCACCTTTACTAAAATAAAAAAAGAAAAAAGAATAGTGTTGGGAATGGTGCACAAAATTTGTTTTTCGTGAGTGTAGATAATAAAACAAAGTTTCTATCTTGCCCTTCAAGAACAAATGGATTGCAATGGACTAGGTGCATGCAAAAATAGCCCCCTCCCAAGGTGCGAATGTTGCCGGAAGGAAGTGCCTTGTGCCATAGGCCAAGTGAAGTAGTTCCATGGAAGCAGAGCAAGTCATCATCAAAGTGTAAGGTTGCAGGAGAATGAAGGTGTCAGCGAGGAGGCAGTGTGACAAAGGGAAACAGGGTAATTTGGCATAATTTTCTTGCCTCTTCATCTGTGTACTTGTTAGTTTCCCTGGCACAAATGTTTTCCTTGTTGTTTTTCCTTCTCTACTCTCAGATTTCAAATTTCCATTTTCAAGTATTATCTCAGGTGCCTCCACTTCCTAGAGTCTTTCACTGGTTGCCTCAATTCAAAGAGATCTTGATTTTTATTTTTCCCACATCCTTCTCCTTCTCCCCCTTCCTCTTCCTTTGCTTCTTCTTCCATTAGCTGAACTCACTTTGACTTGCAGCACTTTCCCAAACACATAATATTGAACCATACAGGTTCCATACTCAAGTGTACATTGTCTTTTGTTTCCTGCTAATCTTCTTGAGGGTGGAATTAGGTTGTTACCAATCTCTACAATCCTAAGTGTTAAATAGTGTCATTTGGCACTTTGATTATTAACAATTACTTCATTGCCTTTATTTGGAGGGGAAACAATATTGGCGTGGAGGTGTGGCTACCAGTTCCATCAATTTATTAACTATATGTATCCTTTATCAAGTCAATTAATGATCCTGGTCACCAGTGCTTTCATCTGTAACGTGTATTATTGCAAAAGTCTTTATGTCTCTAATATTGTGTGGCCTAATATTGTATGCTTATTTTTACATGATCCATTTAAAGTACAATGCTTTTCCTAAGATATCTAGAAAACTTCATAATTTTGTAGAAATAGAAGACTAGAGCTGGAATTTGAGGAAAAGGGAGAGTTATGTATTATTTGGTATAACATTTGTTATATAAATTTTAAGTTTATATTTAGTGCTGGATATAATTTTTCTAGATTTTCTTTATATTTAATAATCACTGAATTAACCAAATTTGAGGGTTACTGTTGAGTGTGTGTTCGAATGCGGTGAATTAATAGATATGCAATAAGTTATAAGATATGTACATGATAATATGCATGTAAACTATGTATGGAATCTAACTGGATTTACCTTAGGAAAGACACTCTTCAGGGCATCATTGGAAATGATTTTCCAAAGCCTATACATCTTTAAACTCATTTTGAGAGTCTAACATTTAATTGTGGTCTGTTACATGTTAAACAATGTTATTTCAAATTTCTTTTCAGCTCTTTTTTTTTTACTATACTTTAAGTTTTAGGGTACATGTGCACAATGTGCAGGTTAGTTACATATGTATACATGTGCCATGTTGGTGTGCTGCACCCATTAACTCGTCATTTAACATTAGGTATATCTCCTAATGCTATCCCTCCCCCTCCCTCCACCCCACAACAGGCCCGGGTGTGTCATGTTCCCCTTCCTGTGTCCATGTGTTCTCATTGTTCAATTCGCACCTATGAGTGAGAACATGCGGTGTTTGGTTTTTTGTCCTTGCGATAGTTTGCTGAGAATGATGGTTTCCAGCTTCATCCATGTCCCTACAAAGGACGTGAACTCATCATTTTTTATGGCTGCATAGTATTTCATGGTGTATATGTGCCACATTTTCTTAATCCAGTCTATCATTGATGGACATTTGGCTTGGTTCCAAGTCTTTGCTATTGTGAATAGTGCCGCAATAAACATACATGTGCATGTGTCTTTATAGTAGCATGATTTATAATCCTTTGGGTATATACCCAGTAATGGGATTGCTGGGTCAAATGGTATTTCTAGTTCTAGATCCCTGAGGAATCGCCACACTGTCTTCCACAATGGTTGAACTAGTTTACAGTCCTACCAACTGTGTAAAAGTGTTCCTATTTCTCCACATCCTCTCCAGCACCTGTTGTTTCCTGACTTTTTAATGATCACCATTCTAACTGGTGTGAGATGGTATCTCATTGTGGTTTTGATTTGCATTTCTCTGATGGCCAGTGATGATGAGCATTTTTTCATGTGTCTTTTGGCTGCATAAATGTCTTCTTTTGAGAAGTGTGTCTGTTCATATCCTTTGCCCACTTTTTGATGGGGTTGTTTGTTTTTTCTTGTAAATTTGTTTGAGTTCATTGTAGATTCTGGATACTAGCCCTTTGTCAGATGAGTAGATTGCAAAAATTTTCTCCCATTCTGTAGGTTGCCTGTTCACTCTGATGGTAGTTTCTTTTGCTGTGCAGAAGCTCTTGAGTTTAATTAGATCCCATCTGTCAATTTTGGCTTCTGTTGCCATTGCTTTTGGTGTTTTAGACATGAAGTCCTTGCCCATGCCTATGTCCTGAATGGTATTGCCTAGGTTTTCTTCTAGGGTGTTTATGGTTTTAGGTCTAACATTTAAATCTTTAATCCATCTTGAATTAATTTTTGTATAAGGTGTAAGGAAGGGATCCAGTTTCAGCTTTCTACATATGGCTAGCCAGTTTTCCCAGCTCCATTTATTAAATAGGGAATTGTTTCCCCATTTCTTGTTTTTGTCAGGTTTGTCAAAGATCAGATGGTTGTAGATATGCGGCATTATTTCTGAGGGCTCTGTTCTGTTCCATTGGTCTATATCTCTGTTTTGGTACCAGTACCATGCTGTTTTGGTTACTGTAGCCTTGTATCTTTTCAGCTCTTAATTGCACTGAAATATTCATCTTCATCTTATGCTGGACTATGAAGGAATTGAAAGAACATAAGCATTTACCTGCATTTAAAATTCCCACAATTCCCTCTCTAGACATGAGTTTCTATACTTGGGTCTAGAGGAGAGATGAAAAGGATACTCGTTGTGGGTTTTAAAGGAAGCCCTGAATGTTAGCAATATTAAGCACTTAATATATAAATAACTTCTAAAAATTCAGACCCTGGGGCCAGTAATTAAAGACAGTGCTTCAAAACAAGTTTATTGGAATTACCCGTGTGAGAAAGGAACCGCTGCTTTGAGCTTGTGGGATACTATTATCTTCATTAAAATAACTGACTACCACAATCCTGATATATTGACAAGCTGCTAGCTTGTGGAACAGAGTAGAAAATAGACCCATACATACAGAGATAGCTGACTTTTGACAACTGTGTAAAATTAATTTAGTGGAAAAGAAGAATCTTTTAATAAATGGTACTGAACAGTTAGATATTCATATGCCAAAGAGGTGAACTTAATTCACACCTTGCACCATATATGATGTATTGACTATGAATTTATAAATCTTCCAGACAAGCAAAAAACCCATTCCATCAGCCCTTTACCAACCACCCACATTACAGCAGAGCTGAGGAAATATTTAAGTGGGTGGTACCCATCCTATCAACATGTGGTAACAAGGAGGTAGGGCTTACTGGCTGAAGGAAATTGAGAAGTTGGAGAGTTTGGGAGGAGTGAAGAAAAGTGTGTTATTCGAAACTGGGCAGCACTGAGGGGCAGTTCTGAAAGGTGATAATGACTTGAGCTGCTGTGCTGTCTGCATTACTTGCTATCAGTCAAAATCTATGGAGAGGTAGCCACACACTGACAGCAAGTGATAGCTGACAACTCAGTCCAATGAAGGAGAAATAATTATAAAAGAAAAAAATTAATAATGAAGACTTCTGAGCCTTGTAGTAAAAATGCCAAATGCTGTTCAATATGCTCTGTTTTAGAAGATCAAGCAATATATGATACATTTTAAAATATTTTAATTAAAATAACTTTTTAAAAAATTGCTTATAAGGAGTACACCTTTTAAATTTGGATAACTTTTTCTGAAAGATTATTGTTTGAGAGTTTTAAATAGTATATTACTAAATACCATTTATTTTCTAATGTAGTCCATTGTTTCCTATTGTAACAATGGAAATAATAAAAAATATTTAGAAATATGTTCAAGCACAGGGAGAATTCTTTTACAAATGGCTTTGTTAAGCAAAATCTCTTGATTTTTATATAATTCTTTATAATTATTTTAATATTTTAAATAAAATACTGTATACACATGTTTTCAGAATTGAATAACTTACTCTAAATGTAATGTCATATGTAATGACCTTTTTATAAATGTAATTAATAAAGCTCATATTAAACATCTTTATTGTACAAAGTATTGTGTCAGTTACTGGGGCAATTCAAGTTGATTTAATACTCTGTCCTTATTCTGGTTTGAAAAACAGGACTCAGCCAGAAAATAATAACTAAAAAGAGAATGGTTCACAAATGGAGTAGACAAGTCAGAGTAATCATTACATTCAGAGATGTGGAACTCGACAGCCAACACAGCCACAATTGCTTCTCTTTCTCCTGTGTAAATCCCATTTCAAATGTATGTATAGAGTAAGGAGAAGAGCACCCAAATGAAAATCAAGAAATCTTAGTTTTATTTCTTATTCTATTGTAATTTTGACATGTAATAAAACATATCAGAATTCCATTCTGCAAATCAAGAGACTTAAATCGTGCTGCAGATAGATACATGCTTCTGTGGACTTTTACTTAAATGAATGCCTGTAGTTTGTGGACATGGACTCCCTCTCTATTCATATCGACCAAGTCAGAGTTTGAAGAGAGTTATTGGGATCTTGTTAAAGCCACGTACATGCGTTGTTTCTTAGTTGCATTGTCTTTAATATAGATATAATATTACTTTCTTGGATTAAAGACAGGAGCTCTGTTTGCTTTCAAGGTCCCTTCTTGGTCAGGACCTGTGGGTCTATGAAAGTCATTAATTTTATGATCATGCACAAGATTGTTGTTCAGGGGTATGACATGGGAAATGCATCCACAAATGATGTTTACTGCCACCTCAATTATAACACCTGCTCCCCTTAGTTTACAATAAAACACCAAAATAGTGGCAAATTGACTGAAATAAATGTGGCATATAACACATTTAGGGACTACATACCAAGTGTACCTAAAAGCAAAATCCCATCAATCTTTAATTTTTTTCTTCTTCCTTTTCCTTTCCCTCCCCTCTCCTCCCCTCTCCTCCCCTTTCCTTGCCCCTCCCCTTCCCTCCCCTCCCCCTCCCCTTCTCTCCTTTCCTCTCCTTTACTTTCTTTCTCTTCTCTTTTGTGTTTCTACTTCCATTGTAGAAGCTCAATAAATATCTGTTGTATTAAAAGGATCTAGGTGTCAACATAGAGAATGCAATGGAACATCAACCCAAGTTCGTAACCATAACATAGGCATTTTTTAAATGAATATTGTCAAGAAAGATACAGTTGCACTTTGCTTTAGGCAAAGATACACAAAATAAAGCATAGCAGTTTTATAAATCGAATTATATCTCAAATTTACTAGTGACCTAGCAAGATAAATAAATCCTATTGAAAATTCATTTTTAAAATTCTTAAAATTAAGTAACAATTGCCTTATTTATTCTTTAAGGACATTTTGATTTAAATATGTCAAATTTGTTTAAATAATCTTTTAAAAAGTTAAAACCAGTTATTAATACCATGCATCAAATTACAAAATATCTGAAGCATGTAATTTTAATAAATAGACCTAAAAAATACAAGGCTGGAAAAAGTTCCAAACTGTACAATTTAAATGATCATAGGACTTCGGAGTTTCTTTTATCTGTACTCTGTATTCCAGTAATAAATTCATATGATAAAGCAATGTCTGCATGACATGGAGGATAAAGAGAAAAGTGAAGTATCCAAGGTACATTTTACAACTGATCAGGGTATTCTTATAGATCTCTGATTTTAAGTACAGAAATGTGTATTTAGCTCAAAATAAAAGTATTCAAAATATTTATGATATTATACTTAAAAATCAAACCTGAAGGACACTATCAGAGGAGAATCTTATCTTGATGCATGCTAATTTAGTAAACAGGACATGAGCTATTTTGGAATTAGACATGCAGCTTTCCCTGCAATGAACTCCGACTATGTAGGTGACCTTGTGCATGTTACTTAAACTTTCTGATTCACTTTCCTCATCTGTAAAACAGGTGGCTATGCAGGATTGTTGGAAGTGTTTGCTGCTATGAGACACAAATCAAAGAGGCTTCCTTGAGATCTCTTTGCCACTTAACTGGAAGACTCTCATTAAGAGTCTGAAGTCCCCTCTCTCCCCCTCCCCCTCCCTCTCCCTCTCCCCTCTTTCCACGGTCTCCCTCTCATGCCGAGCTGAAGCTGGACTATGCTGCTGCCATCTCGGCTCACTGCAACCTCCCTGCCTGATTCTCCTGCCTCAGCCTGCCGAGCGCCTGCGATTGCAGGTGCACGCCGCCACGCCTGACTGGTTTTCGTATTTTTTTGGTGGAGACGGGGTTTCGCTGTGATGGCCGGGCTGGTCTCCAGCTCCTAACCACGAGTGATCCGCCAGCCTCGGCCTCCCGAGGTGCCGGGATTGCAGACGGAGTCTCCTTAACTCAGTGCTCAATGGTACCCAGGCTGGAGTGCAGTGGCGTGATCTCGGCTCGCTACAACCTCCACCTCCCAGCCGCCTGCCTTGGCCTCCCAAAGTGCCGAGATTGCAGCCTCTGCCCGGCCGCTACCCCGTCTGGGAAGTGAGGAGCGTCTCTGCCTGGCCGCCCATCGTCTGGGATGTGAGGAGCCCCTCTGCCTGGCTGCCCAGTCTGGAAAGTGAGAAGCGTCTCTGCCCGGCCGCCATCCCACCTAGGAAGTGAGGAGCGCCTCTTCCCGGCCGCCATCCCACCTAGGAAGTGAGGAGCGCCTCTTCCCGGCCGCCATCCCATCTAGGAAGTGAGGAGCGTCTCTGCCCGGCCGCCCATCGTCTGAGATGTGGGGAGCACCTCTGCCCCGCCGCCCTGTCTGGGATGTGAGGAGTGCCTCGGCCCGGCCGCGACCCTGTCTGGGAGGTGAGGAGCGTCTCTGCCCGGCCGCCCTGTCTGAGAAGTGAGGAGACCCTCCGCCCGGCTGCCACCCCGTCTGGGAAGTGAGGAGCGTCTCCGCCCGGCAGCCACCCTGTCCGGGAGGGAGGTGGGGGTCAGCCCCCCCAGGCCAGCCGCCCCGTCCAGGAGGGAGGTGGGGGGCTCAGCACCCCCACCCGGCCAGCCGCCCCGTCCGTGAGGTGAGGGGCGCCTCTGCCCGGCCGCCCCTACTGGGAAGTGAGGAGCCCCTCTGCCCGGCTACCACCCCGTCTGGGAGGTGTACCCAACAGCTCATTGAGAACAGGCCATGATGACAATGGCGGTTTTGTGGAATAGAAAAGGGGGAAAGGTGGGGAAAAGATTGAGAAATTGGATGGTTGCTGTGTCTGTGTAGAAAGAAGTAGACATGGGAGACTTCATTTTGTTCTGTACTAAGAAAAATTCTTATGCCTTGGGATCCTGTTGATCTATGACCTTACCCCCAACCGTGTGCTCTCTGAAACATGTGCTGTGTCCACTCAGGGTTAAATGGATTAAGGGCAGTGCAAGATGTGCTTTGTTAAACAGATGCTTGAAGGCAGCATGCTCGTTAAGAGTCATCACCACTCCCTAATCTCAAGTACCCAGGGACACAAACACTCTGCCTAGGAAAACCAGAGACCTTTGTTCACTTGTTTATCTGCTGACCTTCCCTCCACTATTGTCCTATGACCCTGCCAAATCCCCCTCTGCGAGAAACACCCAAGAATGATCAATAAAAAAAAAAAAAAAAAAAAAAAAGAGTCTGAAGTCCTCCAATATTTGGCTAAATTCTATAATCTCAAAAATAGTGATGGAGACAGGGTATCCCATATTTCCATACATAAATTTCACTTCCCTGATCAGTGAGGGAAAAAGTTAATTAATGGGATATTCCTGTGAGGTTGCTTGGAGATAAACTTGTCCAAATGTTTATATAAAACTAAAATTATTTAGATAGGCTCTTATCTAGAGTCATGATTTTATTTTCTTTCAGGAGATATAGAAATAAGAGCTAGAATTGCTTATTGTAGCTAATTTGTAGCTGATTTCTGGGTTGAGAAAAAATTGCAATATACTCTGCCTTTCATTTTCTTACTTGAATTCTCATGTTTTTCTGATAATTAATATCTGGAAAGAATAATCAAGTCTTAATATTGGAGACAGAAACCTGTGTTCTAATGGTGATGTTTTTGTGTCTTTGTTTTTGTTTGTTTATCCATAAACTTTCCTGAGCGTTGCAAATCTAGTTCTAAACATCTATATATTTTGACAAACAACCCATAGGTTATAAACCTGGAAATATGTATGAAATAATGTAGCAATAAAATAATTTGACTAGGGTCAAGGGAATTTTGTTCTAGTCTCAGTTCTGTCTTTACCACTGTGAGATTCTGAGTGAGTCTCAGTGATTCTGGTTGTATTTCCCTGAACAGAAAATCTTAGTTAGACTGGAAATTGAATGAACTTTTATGAATGTCTAGCTTTAAAAATCTAGAACCAACATAGGATGGGACTTCTTTAGTTAATTCAAACAAATAAATAAACCCCAAAAGTATTTGAGAATATAGAACTTGTTCAAATTACTTTTATGAATTCTGAATTTCCCTTTTAATGTGTGCACACATAAATAGTGAGATTAACCTCTCTTGGTATTTGTACTCTTTATAGAAATACATAGGAAACGTATTGTTACTTTAAGTTCTAGGGTACATGGGCACAATGTGCAGGTTTGTTACATATGTATACATGTGCCATGTTGGTGTGCTGCACCCATTAACTCGTCATTTACATTAGATATATCTCCTAATGCTATCCCTCCCCACTCCCCCAACCCCACGACAGGCCCCGATGTGTGATGTTCCCCACCCTGTGTCCAAGTGTTCTCATTGTTCAGTTTTCACCTATGAGTGAGAACATGCGGTGTTTGGTTTTCTGTCCTTGCGATAGTTTGCTCAGAATAAACCATCATTCTGTTGACCTTAATATTAATATTAATTATTTTGCCTCTTTAAAATTCATTATGTTAGCACTTTATTAAGACAATATAAGAGTAGGTCAGTATAGTAGCTGAGCCAAATAAACTGATGTTTTCTAATAAGAAATAATCATTTAATATATATTCATTCATACTTTTTTCCCATGTAGGCAACTGGGAATTGTTGTTATTGTTGTTGTCATTTTTCTTCAGAGCTCTTTAATTTATCACACAGATTGATCCTAAGAAAATGCCATCAATTCTTTTACATGGTGACATGTTAGAAATGATCACCTCTGCACTATACTTAGGTCCCCTGAGGAGTTACCGAAGGACTCACCGAGATTGGTTTCTTGCTTTCATGTCATTTCAATGAGATTGACACTAGGGTTGATAAACAGATGGACAGTTCCATGACATTGACATTTCTATGGTGTCAAACAAATATGCTAGCAGAAAGCAACTCCTGTTTGCATTTCGACTGGTCTCAGGAAAGACGCTTTGTATGGTCTTAAAATGGAGAAAGAGAACGGTCACCCAGCCAGAGACTCTCAGAATCAACCTTTACTTAGAGAAAGACTGTTGGTCTCCATGTTCTTGCATTTGGTCATCCCGAAAGTGACATTGCAATGGGGGAGCAAGTTGATTACATGATACTCCTGATCCCCATGGTGAGGTTCCTTGAAGATAAACTTGGCCGAATGTTTCTATAAAGCTAACATCATTAGTTAGACATGTTCTTATCTAGAGTCATGATTTTATTCTCCTCTTGATATTATAAAAACAGGAGCTTGAATTTCTGATTTCAACTTCTGTCATTTCAAATAGCTCTATGATCTTAGAAAAATGTTAACTTCATTTAAAAAATATCTATTTTTTATTTACTTATTTATTTTTAACTTTTATTTTAAGTTCAGGGGTACATGTACAGGTTTGTTACACAGGTAAACTTGTGCCGTGTTGGCATGTGGTACAGATTATTTCACCACCCAGGCATTAAGTCTAGTACCTATTAGTTATTTTTCCTGATCCTCTCCCTCCTCCACCCTCCACCCTCTGATAGGCCCCAGCGTGTATTGTTCCCCTCTGTGTGTCCATATGTTCTCACATTTAGCTCCCACTTATACATGAGAACATGTGGTATTTGGTTTGCTGCTCCTGCATTAGTTTGCTAAGGACAATGGACTCCAGCTCCATTCATGTCCTTAAAAAGGACATAATCTTGTTCTTAAAAAGTTAACTTCTAATTCTCAGTTACAAAATTTGTAAAATGATGATGATGGCTAGAATATAAGGTGTATTTCAGAATCAAATGCCATAGTGGATGTAAGAACACATTGTAAACACTCTAAATATAAAAATGCAATATAAAATATAAATATAAAACATAAATATAAAATGCAATATAAAATTGCAAGGTATTATTGTTATTATCTAGGGCCAGCTTCTCCTCATAGTTAAATGAAGGCACTAGTGTAAATCATTACCTGGCTGAGGCTTGCACATTTAATATTTTGCCAAAACTATACTTAGGTAGGTAAATTACAATGCGCACATAACTTTGATAATGATCTGAGCTTTGTATAGTAGACAGTGCCATTGCTTGCCTTTATCAGCATGCAGTGGAAATGACCATATTTAAACTTAAGAAGTTCAAAAAGTATAGAATTAACACATTTCTCTATCTAGTCATCGTTTGTAAATTAAAAGAACAAATAAGAAAAAAATGAGTAGACAATCAACTAGGTAGCCAAAAGACATAATAGGAAATGCTGTATTTATGAGTTGTACAGAAACTCCATTTTACAGCCCATGTATACAGCATTTGCACCATTAGACAGGAAATAGCAGCAATGCATAAAGCTGGTAGAATTCTGAATTAGCTGTCCCTTGAAATCTGGTTGTGGAGCAAGGGATCCACTGTTTTCCTGAGTTCTGGCTGGACAGTAGCCACATCACAAGTCAGAGAAAGATGCTCTGAGAAAAAGGTTCTCAAAGATGCTTTCTGTTTGCAGGGAGGATTTTACTAAGTGGCCTGTTCTATAAGTGCATTCACAGGATTTGTTTGTTGTGATTAATAACAATAAAGAGATAAAAATGATCATTGACATTTGGGAAATGTCGTCTAAAAGATCCCATTTAAGTGTGATTTTGAAAAGCACTTTTCATAATTTCATTATGATTTAGGAAAACTTGAGGAAGATTTTTTTTTTTTTTTTTTGCAAGTTGTTTGTTTTGCACACAGGAAAACACGTCGTTCCTTCTGGTTTGTCTTGAGAACAAATTACTCTAAAATGGCTTAGAGAATATGGGAGATTGCTTATCTTCCCATGTTTAATAGAATAATACAAACCTGTAACCTGACTATTTAATAAGGAAAAGATCTTCTGCCATCATGTGGAATGTTGGAGAATCTTCCCTTGTTTGATGTTTTTGTGCCTTTGCTGGCTTCTATGTAAAATAAATCGAATTTCCTTATAGAGGAGTAATTGTTATGACCACAAATAAAATGTTTAAAAATCATGAAGTTTACAAAGTGAAGGTATTTCAGAAAGTTACATCTTGATTATTTAGATTCTGCCTTTTCCATGAGACAGTTTTAAGGAAAAAAAGAAAAGAAAAGCTTCTAGCTTAGGGGAAAAAAAATCACAAAAATTAGAGACTACAAATATCTTTTGTATTGTGTCTTCTTTTTCTACTAGGGAATTTTTAAAGGGGGACATATTTACCAGCAGGTCTCAAATTGATTGAATGGCTACACTTATTTATTTATTGCAATTTTCTTTGGATATTATAGGTATTTTGTAGTATTATTTAATGTTACCAGTACCCTTTATTCTCTTAGCATTTCTTATGTCAGCATAGTTACTAAATGCATCTTTCCATTTTCTTTGCCCAAATCTCTCCTTTCATCTCATCAATTATTTTCAGGGTGTGGCAAAGTGACCCACTTCTCTGTAACAAAGGTTAGAGACATCAGCCAGCCTGGGAACGCCTCCTGCCGATAAACTGAGAATACCTGATTCTACCTGCCACACAGGAACCCGTTTCAAAGAAAATGTTTGACCCAGCTGTCATTCAAGCTTAATTTATATGCTAGAAAGAAACTTAACCAGATGCCACATATTTCTTGTTGAAGTGATTCATCATATTCCACAAGTAATACAATCATCTCTCATGTGGGAAGAGAAGTAGGAGAAGTGCAATCAGAAATAGACAGAATTAAATGAAAAGCAGAAAGGGTCCAAATTATCCTCTATTATTGGGGTGAAAAAATATGATGTCAGCAGCAAGAAAGACATTGTTAAGAATTGCTGCTGACTGTGCAAATACCATGTTAAAGTGAAATTTCCAGTTTTTCATGGAGGAATAGATCCATATGTAGTTGGACTTATATGGCCGATGCAATTTTCCACTCCTTCACCTAATTTTCCATGTAGATTCATCGCTCTTTCCTCCTTTAAATACCTTGTGGAAAACTCACTTTCCCCCTGAATTACAGAATTCTAGGAAGGAAGGAAGGAGTTAAACCTATTTCTTTCTGTGAGGGGAAAGTTGTTTCCTGCAAATATATCTCAGTAGCCTAGGAGAAATGTTCTGCTAGATTAGGTTGATTGAAAAACTCCACTGATAAGGAAGGAAATGAAGAAGAAGTACCTGGAACCGTGTCCCTCATCCTCTCTAGAAGACTGTGGCTACTCCATCATTTTAAACTATTACTTACAACTCACATTTTCAATGGGCCCTTCTCCAATTGAATTAAATATGATCCACATTATAAACACCCAATTATCTCACTTTCTTCAAATATATGCAATTTATTTTAAGTACATCTATGGAAAAGGAGTGTGTGTGTGTGTGTTGTGGTGTGTGTGTGTGTGGTGTGGTGTGTGTGTGTGTGTCTCAACATATTTTCCTGCAGAGGTGATTGTGCCAAATTTATGGCAAGTGAAAAAACTGGGAGAGGGAGGGCATGCTTATTCAAGTTTCATCCAGTATTGCAAGTCTTTTTTCGTTCCTCCTCTCGTGTATCTTCTGTGTGTCCAGTACACCGTGAGTCACTGGCCCATAGAAACACTTGCCATGATACCTAATCATCAAGGATTTATCAGGCAACTAGAAATTTAGGAATAACAGACAGGAAGCAAGTGGTTGGGAAGCTTGTGAAGGGATTTTCTTCTTGGCATATTTTACAGAATCCAGGTCAGTGTCTGATATATAATGATCACAAGAGAATACCAACGTATCAAGTAATAGGGGGACTTTCCCACTGTAGAGTTCTTAAAATGATTTGTCTATCATGGTGCTCTGACCACCGAGCAATTGCTGGCGTGAAGCTGGCCTTAGTTGGAGCATATCCTGTTGCTTCAGCTTTTATTAATGATTTTTATCTGGAATCTTTAGTTATAGGCTAAGTTCCTAGGAGTCAAGGGTGAAAGCTTCTCTATTTTGAAACATGTACTTGCAGCCTTCATTTAAGTGTTACATCTGCTGGAGATACTCAGTATGTGTTTATCACAATGACTGTGTGGTGAAGAGCTAAGAGAAAATGCACACGGCCTGCAGAATTGCTTGGGCAAAGGGGAAAAAGGCCAACGAAGAAAACATAAGAATAAGAAGACATTATATAAGACAGGACAAATTGTTGATATTTGTTGTCATTGGGATCACAGTGAGGTCTATTTAAATAGATGGTTACAGACAGGAATTTTGTATCAAGTCAATTTCCCCTGTGCTCCAAAGCCATTCTTTGATGGTGAAATATTTGAAAGCATGCTGGACTTTTGATATATGGTTTTCTGACTTGAACTTCTAAAGCCAGAGGACAGAGATCTTACCATTCTTTCTTTAGTTCATTGATGAACAGCATGCTCTTGTTCCACTAATAATTAGTACTCACTGAGACAATGGCCACTTTTCTTGGATTCTTGGTTGGTTGGTTTGTGTGGTACCTGAATAGTTTTAAGTTTGCTCAATTTAAATACTGACATGCTGTCAATCCACACCCCTTAAGGTAATAACAAGTATTTTACATTTCTGCTTCATAAATCAGAACACATATGTTGGGATACTTAGGGTGCACAATTATCCTTTCTGGAAACCCTAACAATTATACAGCACTCAGGAAGATAGGGACTTGATCTTTTATATCATCATCGACTTTAAACATCAAATAACTATGATTCATTTCCTAGTGTTAACATAAATAAATCCCCATTGTAATACAAAAAATTAACATGAGTTGTTTGTAGACATTCATGGATGAATCACAAATAAAGCTTAGAAACCAGATGAGCCTCCATGGAACTATTGTCATCACTATGGCTGGAATAAGTGAAAATGACAGCATTTTCTAATAATGTGCTAGGACAAGTTTAAAGAAATGAAACTGTAAACTATCTTGAAAGACCACAGAGCAAACTGCAATGATAAAATGTAACACAATCCATGTGGATGTCCTTTGGAGATATTCAGTGCTTACTGCTCTTTGGATATTTTTGATGTTAAGCACTGTTAAGGCAATTACAGTAATGTAGAGATTTTCAGATGTGACACTGATGACAAAGAGAGATTCGACCAACTTTTCTTAGATAAGCTCTGTAAGAAATATACTGTGCTGGATTTTTGCTTTTCGATATACAACGAAGAAAATTCCTATTGATTTCCATGTGTCTATCTACTTACCTCAGAGAATTTGTGAAAGTGTCTCAGTCCAGCAAACACCCCAAAAACCACACACACACACACACACACACACACACGGATACACACATGGGAAGAAATGGACCTGCATGAAAGATAAATGGAAATAAAATATGAAAGGCTTTCATTGCTACATTTTTTTTAATGCCACGAAGGTCATGCATTAAAGACTCAGATTTTCCTCATTATTGGTTCATAAGAAGAGGCACAGAAAGGCAAGTCCATTACAAGTAAAGTTTCTCTCCTAGTACTCTCTAGTATTAATTGACAAGGAAGATCTTCTATGCTTTATGTCAAAAGTATTCTAGTTGAAATCAATAAACAAGCTGGAATATTCCAGCAGTGATTGGTCTAAGGAGGACAAACATTTACTGATGAACAATCACAATTCCAGCAATCAAAAGAGGCTGTTTAGCTCAAAAGTTAGTACTGTACTGTGTCTCATTTTCCATCTCCAACAGGTTAAAAAAACATCTCCTAAGAAACATGTTTATTTGATGGTACAAAATGCCTCTGAGATACTCCCAGTTTTCACAACTGCTGTTTAAATGGTTTTGAAAACTTCAGGTTGCATTGCTGTTGCAAAGTTTGAAGACAAAGGTGAACATTAACAAAATCAGAATCACAGAGTGACCTGGAATCAGAACAGAAATGTTCAATTATTTGTGTTATAGCGAGCCCTTGGTAATGTGTTGTATTGTGTGTGTTTATGGAATGAATGTTAAGGCGGGTGTTTTGAGAATTCTATGTGCTTTAACTTAAAATTGTTAAGTAACTGTAGCCTGGTAGCATAGGTGATTTGAATTTTGAGTCATCTTTTAAAATTTAGATTATGATTGTCACAAATGGGAAAGAACAATAATCTCACAGCCTATATACAAAGATAGTTGTTGGTGCAAAAAGTAAAAGCCCACCCCCCTGGGAGACAGGACAAACCTGTCTGACAAATGCATTGAGTCACTTATTTAATACATAAATTTGTGTTATCAATAGATTTTCAACAAGAATTTGTTAGGTACTAGCAGAGAAAGGATGAATAATATTAAAAAACTCACAATCAAATAGGGAAGAGGGATGTGGGAACCGACAGCATCTATAACAGAACAGGTGTTCCATGCTCGATGGACAATTGAACAACGTATGAAGAAAACGGAGAGGCATAGGAAGGAGGCATTGATTCTGCCTAGAGAGACTGGTGCAGGATGGGCAGGTTGGGAAATCTGTGCTTAAAATTAATTTATTTATGAGGGTTTTATACTTATCAGTCAGTATACAACCGGAGACGCAAAAGCAAAAGGTGATATAGATTAAGAGATTTATTGCAAGGAACTGACTTGTCCAATTGTGGGGTTGGCTAGGCAAGTTCAAAATCCATAGAGCAGGCCATCTGGAAAGACGGGCTGAAACACTTCTGCATGGGCTGAAGCTCCTGTCCACAGGTGGACTCTCTTCTTCAGGGGAGCTTCAGCTCAGCTCATGTTGCTTCTACTTGATTGAACCAGCCCAACCCAGATTGTCAATTAGGTTGATATCTCTCATGTAAAGTCAACTGATTATAGACTTTAATTGCATTTTACTAAACATCTTTACAGCAACACTCAGATTAGTATTTGATTTAATAACTAAGGTCTGTAGCAGCCAAAAAATAAAAAGATCATCACACCTCATATCTAAAAACATATGGATGTCACTTAAGGAAAAATACGAGAAAGATACAACAGAAAAAAGCTAGTGAATCTTGTTTCTGTCTCTGTCTCTTTTTATTTGAATGCTAGAGAACTCAAATAAAGGTAAAATAAATTCATTATCCATAAATTTTATAAAAATCATACTTACTGTGCCTTTAAATGGCCAACTGATCTAGTTTATTGTGTCTTCCTCTAAGCTACTCTTGTTTGTGTGTGAGAAGAGTTTATGTTCACGTATCTGTATGGTATTTTTCTAAGTTGTGAAATATCTGAAACCAGGGATGGCTTCTGTGCCTTTCACATGATATTAAAAAATTTTCTGGCCAGGCACAGTGGCTCATGCCTGTAGTCCCAGCCCCTAAGGAGGCTGAGGTGGGAGGATTGCTTGAGCCCAGGTGTTTGAGGCCACAGTGAGCTATGATCACGCCACTTCGATCCAGCCTGGGCAACACAGTGAGACGAGACTGGGTCTCAAAAAATAAAAACAAAAATAAAAAATTCCTGATGGCACTAAGTTCAGGAGATCATTTCCCCCAACTAAGCCAATAAAAGATGAAACAATTTTCAAAGCATGTTCAAACTTATATAGACATGTCTGTAAAAATCTTATAATTTGTTACTCCTTAATACATTTTTGAACATTAAGAGCTTTGCTTAGAGATACTTGGCATACAATTAGCTGCACATCTTTAAACTAAGTTTAAACATATGTATATACCCGTAGTTAAAGGAGTCAACATGGCCACAATCTCAAAAAGAAATGCTCATCAGTTGTAATTTCTCCTCATGACTTTCTCCCTATCCCTTGGTAACTATTGATCTCTGTCAGTATAGATTAGCATACATTTTCACAAATTTCATATACATAGAATACAGCTTGTATACATTTTTTTTCTGGCTTCTTTCATTCAGTATAATTATTTTTTCAATTCATCCATGTTGTTTTGTGTCTCAGCAGCTCATACTTTTTATTGCTTAATGGTATTCTGTTGCATGGAAATACCACAGTTTATTTATTCATTTACCAGTTGATCAACTTTTGAGGTATTTCCAGTTTGCTGTTACTGCAAAAAGACTCTTATGAACATTTGTGTACAAGTATTTGTATGAGCATATGTTTTGATTTCTCTTGGGTAAACACCTGGAAGTGAAATGTTTAGATCATAGGCGAGGTGTATGTCTATCTTTTTAAGAAACTGCCAAACTCTTTTCCATAGTGGTTCAACCTTTTTTATTGTCCTACATCAATGCGTAAGTATTCCAACTCTCCACAGGAATTGTTAAATCTTGCTATGGTCTGATGGCTTTTTAATTTTAATCATTCTAGTAGTATACAAAAGTATCACACTGCAGTTTTAATTTTCATTTTTCTAATAGCTAATAACATTGGGCAGACTTTCATGTGCTTCCTTGCCATTCATACATTTTCTTTGAAGAAGTTATTGTCCAAATTTTTGGCCTACTATTTAATGGGGAGTTTGTATTCTTGTCATCGTGTTTGACAACTTTTTACATGGACTGCATACATGGCCTTTATCGGGTATATAAGGTTTGCAAACATTTTCTCCCAGTAGGTGGTTTATCTTTTTGTTCTCTTCACAGTGTATTTTAAAGACCTGCAGTTTTAAATGGGATGAAATAAAATGTATCAAATTTTTATTTAATGTTTTAGTGTCTTATTTATGATATTTGTGTTTGACTTGATGTCACAAAAATTTTCTAGTAAAGCTTTAGTTTTTGCTTTTACATCTAGGTCTGTGATTCATTTTGAGCTAATTTTTATATATGCTACAAGTTATTTTTTTTTGCATGTAGATATCCAATTATTGCAGCCATTTATTGAATGACTGCTGTTTCTTCACTTTACATGGTTGTAAAAAATCAATTGTCTCTATATGGGTGAGTAAATTTCTGGGCTCTGTTTCATAATCCATTCTCTGTTCCATGATCTAGTAGTCTATTTTGAAACTAATACCATAATATCTTGATTAGTGTAGCTTTTAAAAAGTTAAAAATGAACTAGTGTTATTCCTTTAACCTGATACATTGTCAAAGTTGTTTTGGCTGTTCTAAGACATATACATGTCCATATGACTTTTAGAATTAGCTTGTCAATTTCTATTGGAAAAAAAACCACCTTTTTGAATTTTTATTGAGATTGCATTGAATTTATAGATCAATATAGATCAATTTGTTGAGAAGTGAGATCTAAACAAGATTGGGTCTTTGGATGTGTGAATATGAATATGGTGTATCTCTTCGAACATCTTGACATTCTTCAATTTTTCAGAGTATTTTTTTAGTATACAGCCATTGCACATCATTTTTCAGATTCCCAATTATTTTATATTTTTAAATTACCTTTTAAATTGTATTTTTAAAAATGTCAGCTTTTGACTTCTATATGTTTAGCTTTGATAACTAGAAAGCTAGGAATTGTCAATTCCCATCCTTACAAGAAAAAGCTGAACAAACTGAAAGTCAAGGACATTTCTTGAACCCATTAGAGAACTGAGGTCTCAGGGCAAATTTCTGCCCTGAAATTGGAGTGACAGATGAAGCCAGAGTATCACAGCCATGCTCTACTTACTTGGAGCTGAAGACACTGCAACTATATACTACAGAAGCAAATGAGAATTTGACAAATTGCTAGAGATTGAGTGTGAATTAGCTTGAGAGTGAGACACTCTATAAAGCTGCAGTGTTGAAGTAGAGAGCCATACTTCCACAACTTTTATCTCTGGGGTCCCAGGACCCTTGTTTTCATGGTGGAGTTCCATGATCTATGCTTGTTCATGGCTCTAGCAGTGGGAGGGAAGAGGAACCATAGCGAATGTGACTAACATGTTCTCCATACTCAGGGTGATCACTCGGTTCCTCCTGGGTCTCCTGCTTAGCCAAGAAACTCTATCAAGACAGTAAGCGGAGCAGCTACTGTGCTTAGTGTGTTTGTTTTCAGCCTCTCATGGATCACGGTCCTTCACTGCCTGAGGTCCAGTACCTTGAGCACCGTTATTTCACACATCTGTCCTGATTTTAGGTTGTTTTAGGTCAAGGGTAAATCTGGTCCTGGCTACTCTATCTTGATCCCATGCAGAAGTCCCAAATTTACATTAGAAGAGACAAACTGAGGAATCTCCTTCAGTTGTGACTTTGTACGTATATGTGCCTTGCAATTTACAAAATACTTTGTACTAATACAAGAGAAAACAGTCTTTAAAATACGGTGTATATTCCTAGTCACACTTGTGTCAATGGTTAGTCATTGGTTATATTTCTTTTACAGTTTTTTGTTTGTTGTTTGTTTTTGCTTCTTTCAACAAATCTTCATTCCATAAAGCCTGGAATTATGAATGCCCTTGAAAAGGTTTACAAGATGTATTTGATTCAGATAAGTCAATCTAACCTTTATAATCACTGTTGTTCCTTCTTATAGCCTCCTGTGCACTCTGATGTCACTTAAGCATATATAATTTACTTAACATTTATAATAATATATTGAGATTATCTAATTATGTAATGGTTTCCCGCAATAGACTATAAACTCATGAAAGGTGGTGACCATATTTTATTCATCTTTTAACCTCCGGTATCTAGCCCAATTTCTGCCCCTGCACCACCCCCGCATATAATACTTTTTTTTTTTTTTTCCTTTGGTGAGATGGAGTCTCTGTCTGTCACCCAGGCTGGAGAGCAGAGGCACAATCTTGGCTCACTGCAACCTCCATCTCCAGGGTTTAAGCAATTCTCCTGCCTCAGCCTCTTGAGTAGCTGGGATTACAGGCATGAGCCACCACGCTCCACTAATTTTTTGTATTTTTAGTAGAGATGGGATTTCACCATGTTGGCCAGGCTGGCCTGGAACTCCTGACCTCAAGCAATCCACCTGCCTCGGCCTCCCAAAATGTTGGAATTACAGGCATGAGCCTGGCTAATAAGCCTTTTATGCATGTTTATTAGCTAAACTGAATTATTCTGGGTCTTGGGTGAATATATTGGGTTACTGTACTCCCCCCACCTTTCAAACATAAAAGTTTCACTTTTATATAAACAATAAAAATCTACTTAAAAAATAATGTACCCTGTTATTCCAAAATAGTGAAATTTGACCCAAATATAAATCTTTAGTTATATCCTCTGACATTAGAACTTCACTTGTCTGTGGTTCTTGTCTTTTATTTTGCCTTCTAATTGGTATTCACTTGATTTATAAATCCCATTGACATTATTCTTCTTATAAAGGCATTTTGTCTATCTAAATTAAATCTTATTCACTTGATTTTCTTTTACATCTTAAACTCTCAAGATCCATCTGCAGCTTTTCCGTTTGTAACTTTCCAGTCTTGAGTGTGTAATCTCCTCATTTGCAATCATCTCTAGGGTTTACTCAAGTTATTTTTTTCTCTCTTCTCTTCAAGTTAACATATTAGAAGGATATTGACCCTAGGATTAGTTACCTTTTGAAATCTCCCTTTAATTTTTGGGTTATTCTTGACTATTATAATCAGTATTCATTATTTTCAACCTTGAAGCATCAGTGATATGCTTCATGGCTATAGAAAGTGAAAACCTTCTTGCTTATTTGTATTTCAGAAAGAAGGTGATTAATTCTGCCTAAGTTCGACACGATCCCATGAGACGACCCTGCCATCCAGAGAAGCACAATCTTCAGCCTTCAAGACACTTTGGACTTTGACTATTGAGTTTCTAAATTTAAAAACTAAATTGAGTGTCCTTAGAACCAATTTATCTTGAGGAGGATATCATTTTTTGAGGAGTTAAAAGGGCAATTATTGTTTCTAGGTCATTTGTTAAAAATTGGCACACAATATATTTTAATGCTATTTAGGTGCATATCTATCATGGATTATTAACTTTGATCATGTTTGTTGTCTTTGCTCCCTAGAGGTACATAAGCTCTGAAGGAAATATCAAATCCCATCCAACATTTTCACTGAAGAGATCATAACTTTCAATCCAAATTCTATAATTCAATTGCAATATTAAATTTGAATACATGAAATTTATGCAATCATTATACATATCGTTTCTAATAGTTGGACTGATAGTTTGACATAGGGCTAATAATGCTCCCCTGTTGTAACAAGAATTTCCGGGTGCTTATATATTATGAGACTACTCTGCAGGCTTCATTTGTTCTATTCCTCTTTTTCCACGTGGCAACAGAGGCTGAAACATATAGAGGAAAAGAAGTACATCGGCAAATAAAATATGCTTATAGGAGAGAAAAAACAAATGTCTCCTATGGGATCTTGATGAGGTAATGTATGTTAAGTTATTCAGAAAAAAGCAAATAATATGCAAATGTGAAAAGTTATTACACGTCATGCCAACTCTTAGCTCCCAGCCCAAGCTTCCAACTGGAGCAAGTTCCCCAGGCTCTTAATTTCCATGAGGGAAACTCAGCAAATTTAAATAATATTAATGATATATTAATGTAGTAATGTGATAACAAGGCACTTAGTAATAATGAAATGGATATATGCTATTAAGAAACTTGATTTCATATACACTTGTCAATATTTACATTACAGGATCAATTCAATTCAACAGATATTTATTGAGTTGCATCAGACACTGTGCTTGACGTTGTGACTTAACTATAAAAGTAGGTGGTCCCTGTATTTGTGGAGATTACAGTCTGTTGAAGGTAGACAGATAATGAAGGTTGTAATTAGGTAATAACGACGTGATGTGATAACATGGTTTTCTCATTTAACAGATTCACTCATGAATCACAACATAATTATTGAGCCCTAACAAAAATGCCAGTTCTCCTAACAGGCTCTATAGAGATATAGCATTGAATGTAAAAGTCAGGGTCTCTGTAAAAGTCAGGGTCTCTGATCTCGGAGAACTAGATGTTCAAGGGAGTCACAGCAGTGCAATATATGTTAGAGTTTCAGGAAGCCATTTACAAATATTAGGCAAGTAAATGTTATGTTCCAATTTTTATTTTATGTGCCTCCCTCTCTAAAAGAAAATATAAGAGACACAGAGTAAGAACCTAAGTTATCACCTTGATTCAGTAACAAGAGATTGTATTAGAGTTCCCTAGAGAAAAAGAAACAATAATATAAAGATGTACATATACGTCTATATACCTGTTATAAGAATTGGCTCATACAACAAAGGAGGCCGAGAAGTCCTATGATTTACCATCTGCAAGCTATAGAACCAAGAAAGCTAGTGGTATTTTTTAGTAGGAGTCCAAAGGCCTCAGAACCAGGAGCACTGATGTCCAACGACAGGAGAAGGAAGACAAAAATGGCGGGAAGAAGAAACAAATGCAAAATATAGAAAACAGGTACAAGCATGATATAAATCCAACTGTATTAATAATTACTTTAAATGTGAATGGTCTAAATATGCCAATTACAAGACAGAGATTGCCAGAGTGGAAAAAAATAAAAATCTACTGGATTTAAATGAAAAGACTCAGTTGAACATAAAGGGAAGAAGAATGATGTATCATTGGCTAGATACAAATAGATGTATCTAGTCAAAAGCAAGCTGGAGGGCCGGGTGCAGTGGCTCAGCCCTGTTATCCCAGCACTTTGCAGGGCAGAGGCGGGCGGATCACAAGGTCAGAGATTGAGACCATCCTGGTTAACATGGTGAAATCCTGTCTCTACTAAAAATACAAGAAATTAGCTGGGCGTGGTGCCACACACCTGTAATCCCAGCTACTTGGGAGGCTGAGGTAGGAGAATCGCTTGAACCCAGAAGATGGAGGTTGCAGTGAGCAGAAATTGTGCCACTGCACTCCAGCCTGGATGACACAGCAAGATTCCGTCTCAAAAAAGAAAAAAAAATCAAGCTGGAATAGCAATATTAATTTCAGAAAACACACATCTCAGAACAAAGAAGATGAGCAGGGATAAAGAGGGAGATTAAACAATAATAAAAGACTAAATAAAAAACAAAAATAAAAAATAAAATAATAATAAAAGAATACAATGGAACTAAACTAGAAATTAATAACAGAAAAATTGTTGGAAATCTCTAAATATACAGAAAATTTAAAACATGCTTATATATAACCCAAGTATCAAAGAAGTAGTATCAAGAGAAATTGAAAAATAATTTTGAACTAAAGAAAAATGAAAACAGAACTTATGAAAATTTTTGGGATGCAGCAACAGTAGTGCTTAGAGGGAAATTTATGGCTTCAAATATTTACATAAGAAAAGAAGAAAGATTTAAAAAAAATCAATCATTTTAGCCTCCACCCAAGAGAACTAGAGAAAGAAGAGCAATTTAGGCTTAATGCAAGCAGGGGAAAAGATATAACAAAATTAGAGCTGAAATCAATGAAATTGGAACCATAAATTTCACAAATGTAATAGAAAAATAATCTCAGAAACCAGAAATTGTTTTTTGAGAAGGTTTGTCAAAAAACCTTGATGAATCTCTAGCTGGGCTAACCAAGAAAATAGATTAATTTTTCTCATAAACATGGATGCACAAGTTCTCAATGAAATATTAACAAATTGAATCCAGCAATATGTAAAAGGAATTATAAACTATGACCAAGTGGCATTTATTTCAGTTATACAAGATTGGTTTCACACTTGAAAATCAACCAATATAATCTACTGTATCAACATGCTAAAGAAGAAAAATTATATGATTATATCAATTACTGCTGAAAAAGCTTTTGACGAAATCCACATTCATGATAAAACTTTCAGCAAAATACAAATAGAGTAAAATTTTCTCAGCTTGAAAAAGGAATCTACAGTAACCTACAGTTAACATTATACTTAATGGAGAGATACATTTTCTCTAAGATAGAGAAAAAGGCAATATTGTCCTCTCTAACTGCTCCTAAACAACATTGTACTGGAAGTCTAAGTTAATACAGTAAGACAAGAAAAAACAATTAAAAATGTATAAAATGGAAAGGAAGAAACAATTATTTTTATTCAGATGACATAATTATCTATATACAAAAGAATCCCAAATAATCTACAAAATATTCCTAGAACTAATGAGCAAAGTGGCAGGATAAAAGATTAACATACATAGCCAACCAATTTTCTATATATCAGCAATGAGTGATTGAAATGAAAAAATTTAAAATACACCACTTATGACAGCAGCAAAAATGGAATATTTTGTTATAAATCTGAGAATATATGTACAGAATGTACATATAGGAAACTATAAAACACTGATGAAGGAAGTAAAGCATATATATAGAAATGTTCCATATTCATGAATCAGAACAGTCATTATTGTTAAGATGTCAATTCTTCCCAGTTTAATTTATACATTCAATACAATTCCAATAAAAATCCTAGCAAACTATTTTTTGATATCAACTAACAAGTTGACTCTCATTTTATATTGAAAGGCAGAAGACCAAGAATAGCCAATGTAATCTTAAAAAATAAAAATAAAGTTGGAGGACTCACACTACCCAATTTAAAATTTAAAGACTCACTATGAAGGTACATTAATAAAGGCAATGTGGTGTTAGTGAAAGGATGGACACATGGATCAACAGGACAAGACAAAGAACTGATAAATAGACCAACACATGCATAGCCAAGTGATATTTGACAAAGGAGTGAAAGCAATCTGTCACTAGAGAAAGGATAATATTTTCAGCAAATGGAGCTGGAACAATTAAATGCCCATATATAAATAAAAAATCCGGACAGAAACTACATTTTCCAAAAATTTGAATCAAAATGGGTCATAAACTTAAGTGTAAAATGCAAAACTATAACATTCCCAGAAGAAAACAGGAGAAAATCTGTGTGATCTGGAGTTTGGCAATTTATTTTTAGATACAATACAAAAAGCACACCTCATGAAAACAATTGATACATTTGACTTTATTAAAGTTAAAATCTTCTGCATTGCAAAAAAACTAAGAGAATGAAAATCCAAGTCATAAACTGGGAAAAAAATGTTTGCAAAATTTATATCTGATAAAGAACTTGTATCCAAAATATACAAAGAACTCTTTAAATCCAACAATAAGAAGACAACCCAATTTAAAAATAAGCAAAGATCTTAATAAACATCTCACCAGATAAGATATGCAGATGGAAAATAAACATGAAATGATGCTCAACATCATTAGCCATTAGATAATTGCATATTATCACAACAATGAGACACCATTGCATTCCTATTATGGTGGCCAGCCCTGTCATCCTTTTCCAGTTGAAAATACCAATTGCTGGCAGGAATGCAGAGCAACAAGAAGTTTATTTTGTTGCTGGTAGAAATGCAAGAGTACAGCCACATAGGAAGAGAGTTTGGCAGTTTTTAACAAAGCTAAACATTGCCATAAATACAACTCTGTAATCCCGCTCCTAGGTATTTACCCAACTGACGTGAAAACTGATGTCCACAACATGCATGCGAAAGTTTATAACACTGTCTTTCATAATTGCCAAAAATTGGAAGCAACCAAGATGTCCTTTAATATGTGAATAGATAAACAAACTGAAGTACAACTACACAATAGAGTACTATCATTGATAAGAGGTAATGAGCTACGAAGACATGCAGAAACATGAGTGAATAGTAAATGCATATTGCTAAGTAGAAGAAGCCAGTCTTAAAAAGCTGTATGATTCCCTTTATAGAATATTCTGGAAAAGGGGAAACTATAAAGACAATAAATACATCAATGGTTGTTGGAGCTTTGGAGGAGGTGAGTTAAATAGGTGGTGAGCAGAAGATATTTTAGGGTGGGAAACTATTTTTTTGGTAGTGTCATAAACAATATATGACAGTATGTATTTGTCAAAACTCACAAAACTTTATAACAAAAAGAGTTAGCCTTAATGTTTGCCAATTAAAAAATTATCTAAGTGACTGGTGGATCTCAGGATAAAATGCGGAATGTTGCAAAAGACTCCAAGTGTATTAGAAATGTATAAAACAACCATACCGCATGGAGAGGGAGAAGGTGGGATCTACATAATGTTGCAAATATGTGGAGTCTGGAATACTAATGGCAAAAGGAACTGTGCAGAAGAACTGCACTCTGGTTGGTAAAGGTTTTTCACAATGGGTTATGGATCCACAATTCTGAAAGCAGCATACGTGCATAGTGCTTTTGAACAATTAGGTACTTAAATGGTGAGTGGTGAAAGTCAACTTTCTCACTGCTGGAGTGGGAGGCTACAAGTAAGGAAGGGAAGAGACTACAATGATCCATGTGGTGATAAATTAAAGTTGTGGGCATTAGTTTGAATATATGTTTAGCTTAATATAGATACAGAAGGTTACATACAGAAAAATTTACATGAGTTACATGTATATACATAGGTTAGCAAACACACATACATTTCCTTGCTGTCTCAGCTTAGACCCTCAGAGGGCCTAGGAGCCATGATTCCCCAGTACCCCAGTAGTAACAAGCATACCTAGTGCCTAGATCTTGGTTTCAAATTATATTCTCAAATAAAAGAAACTAGAGCTCAGTGAAGAAATGACTTGAGTCTAGGATTGGAACATGATATACACAAGATGAACCTAGAACATCTTGTAGTGACAGATAAGAAAATGCTCACAAAAAAAGAAAAGAAAAAGAGAAAGAACCACCATATTGAAGACGTTTCAAAAGGACACTAGAGCTAATTGAAGGAATCCCCAATGGTCAAAGCTGGAACAATTTGAATAACAAAATAAACTAGTGATGGATATGACCCAGAGTATAAAATGAAAATCCATTAATCTATACTGATATAAGTAATTAATTGACAAATAAATCGGAGAGAATACAAAAATCTGTGCAGAAGAGTTTCTGTGGATGATTTGCCCTAGATAACTCTGTATTCCTTAAGTGTGGGCTGCACACAGTGACTTCTTCCAAAGAGTGAAGTGGGAAAGGGAAAAAGAAGAGGAGTTTTAAGTAGAGAAACCTGATGACACTACTTCAGCCATGTAATCATCTTTCACAACTACAGTGACAGGTCATGTTCATAATATATTCCCTTGAGGTGATTTGATGAGAGTGGCATTTTCCCTCTGTGGTCTTCTTCCCAAAATCATAACTTGAATTTAATTTTGAAAAAAAAGATCAGATGAATCTCAATTAAGGGACTTTGTTTTTAAAATACATTAAAAAATTTTTTTTTAATTTTTTACTTGTCCCAAGAAAAAAAATTGAGAAACTTTCTACAAAACACTTGGCCAATACTTCTCAAATTGTCTAGGTCATCAAAAATAAGAAAAGCTTGAGAAACTGTAATACCCAGAGGGGCTTATGGAGAAATAATGACCAAATATTATAAGGTATCTCAGATGGGATCACGAAAGAGAAAACGAGAACATTAGATAAAAACTAAGAAACTGAAATCAACTATGGCTTTTTATTAAAGGTATGCTATTGATATACTAGGTCATTAAAGGTGATAAATACATTACATTATTGTAAGATAATGATAACAGAAACTTGGTGTGTGGTATATAGGAACTCTGTACTATATAAGTTTTCTGTAAATGTAAAATTACCTTAAAATAAAAAAGTGTATTCAATATTTAAAAAGAAAATTAGAATTTTCTCTTTGGTAAATACACACCTTACAAATCTTTACACCAGATAATGGTTTTGGTTTTGACTCTCTACCTTCATAAAAAAAGTTCTCAATTGTAATATTGAGAAGAATTAATGTATTAATGCATTAGACCCGAGGAATAGATTAGGATCTTTTTTTTTTTTTTTTGGTACCACAATTGGTAATGATCATATTACGTCTAACAAAATACATGATTACATTAGTCCATTCAGTATTCTTTTCTTATATATATATATATATGCTGGGTGTTGGACTTGGTGGTTGTCCTGCAAGGGTTCACAGTCTTGTTGAAGATATACATATTAATCCAACAATTTACCTTCAATTTATTGTGGACTTAAGGTAATGGGCTGGGTGTGGTGGCTCACACCCGTAATCCCAGCACCTGGGAGGCCAAGGCGGGTGGATCGTGAGGTCAGGAGATGGAGACCATCTTGACTAACACGGTCAAACCCCATCTCTACTAAAAATACAAAAAATTAGCTGGACTTGGTGGCACGTGCCTGTAGTCCCAGCTACTCAGGAGGCTGAGGCAAAAGAATCACTTGAACCCGGGAGGTGGAGGTTGCAGTGAGCCAAGATAGCGCCACAGAAAAAAAAAAAAAAAAAGATAATGAAACCCACTGGTACCTTCAAAGACTTTATATGAAAAATAAACCCTAATAAGTAATTATTGCACATGGTGATTGGTGTTAGGGCAAAACCATGATAGGAGATAAACTTGTGTTGGGTCAAAGAAGGTCTCCCCAAGTAGATAATTGATTGAGGGAAACTTTCAAGGACTAGCCAACTGTAGCCATTTTCTTCCTGTAGGCAGGAAGATGTAATAGTGTTGCAGGGCAGGTGAGCCTCAAAATTGGGGCTTATCCCGAGAGGGCTTTTGGTTTTGTTCAAGAAAGAATTAAAGAGTGAGCTATGTTGGCAGAACAAAACAGCTTTATTAAGACAGGAGTATTACATCTCTGTGACTGTTTCTGCAGAACAGGGCTACCCCACAGGCAGTGTGTCCAGAGTAGCAGCTCAGGGGCAGTTCCGCAGTAATATTTATACCTACTTTTAATCATATGCAAATTAAGGGACTGATTATACAGAAATTTCTAGACAATGGGTGGCAACTTTTTGGTAATTGACTTGGAAGGGGGCGGCAACTTCTGAGTGTTGCCATGGCAATGGTAAACAGTCCTGGCACTGGCAAGCAAGTCTTATGGAGAGGTACGTTCGCCTCTTCCCTGTTTCAACTAGTCTTCAATCTGGTCCAGAGTTGAATCCAACCTCTGGAGTTGAGTCCTGCCTCCTATTTCAATAGCAGATACAAAAGCATAGCGAGAAAGCAGAGAGAACAGGACATGTTTGGAAACTATGCCATGATGCTTAGAGAATGAATGAAGGAGAGGGTACTGAGAAGGAAGGGAGAAGGACACAACTAGAGATGCAGGATGCAGCCAGGGTCAGGTCCTGCTAATTCCTGAGTACCATGGCAGTTATCAATCCTTGTCCACAGTAATTAATAATAAAAATTCAAGGCATTGATGTAATTTGGCATCAAAGAGCTAATTATTGGCTCTCATCATTATGTATTAGAGTCATAGCTGATCAGAAGTTCCAGGGAGAAGCATAAAGTCATCAAAAGCAGTCAGCTGAATCTGGCAAAATGAAAGTGATTGTTGCAATATTTTTGGATTCAGTTCAGAGTTTAAATCTTTTACATCTGTGCCTCCAACCGATTCATTTTAGAATTGGTTCTGAGAATAAATTGACTGGCTTGTAGAATTTCCATAGTTCAAGGACTTGTTGCTAAAGTGGAAACAAGTCAAGTTTGAAGAATGACCTATTGCATCTGGTGTGTTGATGACTTCCTCTAACTGCAAATAATGTAGGGAAAAAAAGAGCAACTGAACGTTTCCTGTCTGCAGAAAAGTATCTGGAAGTAACGCATTCATCATTTCCTTTGGATTTCAATAGATTTGCATTTGCACTATCTTTGTTGCACATAGACTGAAACACCTGATATTTTTGCGTTCAACCACACATTATTATTTGTTGGTGGGTTATTTATTGTCATTTTATAGACTAGAAAAGTAAATACTAGAATTAAATTCTAAAGCCCTGGATTTAGAATGTAAGACCAACAAAGAATTGTGCCTACCACACATTCCTAAGGTCATTTCTCTATTGCTTTTTCACTTTCAATGCAAGTTCAGAGCAGCGTTTTTTTATAAAGGCATTAATTGCTATATGAGGGTTCAAATTCAATGTTGTGCTACCCTAACTTAATGCTTATTTGATTCAGTTTATTTCAATTTGTTTGCTGTTTTCCACACTCTGCTGGCAGAGCCATTTAGAAGCTAAGATTTGTTGTTGCCGTTGTTGTTGTTGAGACGGAATCTCATTCTGTCGTCCAGGCTGGAGTGAAGTGGGGCAATCTTGGCTTACTGCAACCTTCGCCTTTGGGATTCAAGTGATTCACTTGCCTCAGCCTCCCAAGTAGCTGGGATTACATGTGTGCACCAGGGCGCCCAGCTAATTTCTGTATTTTTAGTATAGAAGGGGTTTTACCATATTGGCCAGGCTGGTCTCGAACTCCTGACCTCTGGTGATCCACCCGCCTAGGCCTCCCAAAGTGCTGCCGTGAGCCACTGTGCCTGGACTGGAGGCTAAGTTTTATAGGAGAAATTCACCTTGACTCTTAGTAACTGTTTCCACTGGCAGTACATTTCTTAAGGTTCTTTTCTTCTGAGATCTGCCCTTTTTGTCCCTGATAAATGACCCTTAAATAGGGAGAGACTCCACTGGAGCTGTCGGTTGAACTCTGCTCCATCTGCAGGGTGCACCCAGGCACTAATCACACACTACTTTATCCCTGGAGTGTCACAGTATCAGCAACTCTGTATTCATCTGTGAATAAAAATAGTTTTTCTTTATGTTTCAGAGGATAAACATTGAGGCAGCTTTGGGATAGAGTCATTACATACATCTTTTTACTCAATAGGTGTATATTTTGTGCCTACCAAGCAAGTGCAGGAAACTAAATGCAAGAGTCTTTTCCTTGAGATACTTCCTTCCTTCTCCTATAACCTCAACACAGAAAGTTAAAAAGTCCACTGGGTGGGAATTAAAGAGATATTTAGCTGCTGAAAGTGCTTTTGGCATCTACAAATCATTCTGGTTTTGTGGTGTCTGTTGCCTATCCTGTTTACGTGAACATTGATGAAAGAACAAAACTAAGTCAGTCTTTCTTCATCTTTCTTCTCGAATTCTTTAGAGTAGGCAACCATTATCTGCTAAAATAGCTTTTTAGTCATACTCATGTCTGTGTAGTGAAAATATTTCCCCCCTAAATGAAATAGAGTTCCCTCCTAAATTTGCGTAGAGTCACAACCAGCTCTTATTTCTTGCTCATGTCTAGGTTACTGGGCAGCTGTCTTTTCATCAATAATTCAGGACTCAGGCATTGGTGAGCTGAAGGAGAAAAATCATGGAGATTTAGAAAAGTCTTTGTGGGGCTAGAAGCACTTCTGCTCATATTCTACTAGTTGGAAGTGGGTCAGAACTCATTTGTCTAGCCACAAGAGCTACGGGAGAGGCTGTACAATGTAGTCCAGTTTGTGCCTAAGAAAAAGAGCAACAGGAATTGATCTCTGCTGTGCCTCTTGCTTTTCTATCAGCAGTTGGGTGGGAGTGAAGTGAACATCAGGTTCCAGGAATCTCCTGAGCACCCACTGCACCTCAGCACTTCTGACTGCCTGTGGTGTTGCCTCCTGTGGGGGCAGCAAGATTACACCTCACAAAGGGTTTATGCTTTCCTGGAAATATTCACTTTCATTGAAGTGAACCCACTATCTTCTATGGGCTAAAAAGCTAGATGGAGGCACAGACAGTGCATCCAAGCCCAACTGATAGAACCTTCCACTCTTCTATTCATGGCACAGAATAGCCATGCGTTGTTTATCATTGTCTGCATAACTCCAGATGAGGAGAATGAAGGAAGGAGAGCAGTGTGGAAGTATTCACTCTACATGAGACATTTTCTCGGTGCTACACATACATCATTTCATTTAACTCTCACAACCATGTTGGACTTAAGCACTATCCTTGCTTTTTAAACGACACAACTGCAACTGATCCTTAGCAGATTTAAATAAGTCACTCAAGGTTATGCAGGTAGTGAATAGAAAAGGCAAGATTTTAATCTAGATTTTTCTGATTTTTTAAGCTGTTTCTTTAATCGCTTTGTCACCATCTTATCATACTGCCTCTTCACTGAGATTCCATGAGTGACAACATTTGACATCTGTCCTTCACATAGTAGACACTTGACGTATCTCTATGGAGAAATGTCTGATGTGGGTGACTTCTTTGAGTATACATTGCTCTTGGTCAAATTTGAGAACTATTTTACTAATTGTGTTTAACACGGGGGAGCCATCCTATACACACCAGTATTCTTTCTCTTTTGGTCATTGTCTTCTTTCACAGTCATTATTTCTAAAATCTGCTCAGAAATTTTCATTTTTTTTTTCAAGTAATGGTTTGGGCTGACTTATTCTCATTCATTAGTCATTTCTTCATTTATTTAACAATTATACTTTTTAAGAACCTACTGTGGGTAAGCATTCTGCTTGGTGCTGGGAATAAGAGAGAAGATATAAAGATAATTGTGACTTGATTATTCATCCATGAGGGAATCTCTGGAGTTTTGATTTGGAGAAAAGATCATCAAATACTTAAAGCAGAAAGTTATATGCCCTTATAATGCAACCACAGTCACAAAAGTGTTGGTTTTGCATCTTGTGAATATTGCAAGATAATGAATTGCCTAGGAATGCATATTTTTTAAACTTTTATTGTAAGTTCAGGGGTACATGCGTAGGTTACATAGGTAAACTTAATGTCATGGGGGTTTGTCGTACAGGTTATTTTGTCACCCACGTGTTAAGGCTAGTATCCATTAATATTTTTCTTGATCCTTTTCCTCCTCCCACCCTCCACGCCCCACCATTTTCCCCAGCATGTGTTGTTCCCCTGTATGCGTCCATGTGTTCTCATCATTTAGTTCCCATGTATAAGTGAGAACATGGTATTTGGTTTTCTGAAATTTTGGGCATTGGCGTGAAAGTCTGATTTATTTTATGCTTAAGGCGTTAAGTGTTTTCACTGCTTTTTCTTCACCTCCTCACTTTTATTTTTGGATTTACTCTTTGTTCACATTAAACCACTATATTTACATCTCAGACATTTGAAATCTTAACAACACAAATTCAGTAATATCAGAGGACATTTTGGTATTGCCAATCACTTCTTCAGAAGATCTCTTTACCTATGAACTCCAGCCAAGATTTCCTGTCATCAGAACTCTCAACACATTTCTCTCTGTATACGCTGCATCTAAAGAGGCTGCACTGCAAAGCTGACTAAACAAAAGTTTATGGCACTCGTTCCAACTTTACCACTGACTAGTTGTGTGAACTTCGGACGGTTGACCTCTTTCGGCCTCAATTTCCGAGGCAATTAATAAAATCAGAAATTCCATTCATCGTTCTGGATTGTTCCACTTAGGAATTTTGACTAGTTTTTTTCTGTGTTTTATAAAAATTTAAACACATAGCAATAAACATGGAAACTCACCCAAACCTAAGATGTTACGCATATTGACTATTTTTAATGGGAGAATTCTACAGCAAAATCTTCATGATGCAGAGAATTAGGAAACCACATCAAATACGTGTTTTGGTGAAGTCTTCAGATGCATTATTCAACCTCTTTGGCTCAATTTTCATCATGTGAAATAAAGAGAGTAAACTGGAGGTTATCTGAATCTTCAGAATTCAGTGCTTTGAGATATTATATCAACTTAGGTTGTTGAAATTGATGTGACAGTTTAACAACTCCTATCCAAATGGGTCACGTGTTTCTATTTAAAAAGATATAAACCTTCTTCCATAAAAATCTTTTTTTTGAGAACACATGAACATAGGGAGGGGAGGAACACACACTGGGGCCTGTCAGGGGTGGGAATCGGGGGAGGAGAGCCTCAGGATAAATAGCTAACGCATGCTGGGCTTCACACCTAGGTGATGTGTTGGTAGGTGCGGCAAACCACCATGACACATGTTTACCTACGTAACAAACCTACACGTCCTGCACATGTAACCCAGAACTTAAAGTTAAATCAAATTAAAATTTAACAGTAGAAACAAAGTCTTTTTTTAAAAATTGAGAAAATCAGTTGAGAATTTAGCAGGAATATGGAATGAAATGTAAATGTTTTTGCTGTTTTCTCAATTAATTCTCATGATTTTCCTGAATTATATCTAGATAGATAACAAAAGCATACAGATATCAGTATATTTAAGTAACTTTAACTATGAAAATTCAAAGTGAACAAACATAATTATGGAAATAATTTTCTCACTTAAAAGAGCATTTTCTTGGAGTTAGTTGTTACCCATGTTTTTTCTTATTTTGTCAGAGAATTTTGGGAAGTAGCAAAATGTAAAACTACAACTGAAACATGACTATCATTGTCTAAAAATCAGGGTAAGTCCCATCCAGTGTGTTGTAGATATTTTTTTCATTGATTTTAATCTAAACACATTAATTCTCTTTTAAAATTAAGCATTTTCCCACAAACTCAAAGGTCACCAGAGAATTTGTTCAAGACTTAAAAAAAAGTTCTATTTGTGTTTTAGATTCAGGCAGAACATGTATAGGTTTGTTACCTGGGTATATTGTGTGATGCTGAGGTTTGGAGTATGATTGATCCTATCATCAAGGTAGACCATAATATTCAACAGGTAGTTTTATAGCCCTTTCCTTTTCCCTCCCTCCCCCTCTGTTAGTCCTCAGTGGCCATTGTTCCCATCTCTACATCTGTGTGTACCCAATGTTTAGCTCCCACGTATAAGTGAGAATATTGGTATTTGGTTTTCTGTTCCTGCATTAATTTGCTTAGGATAATGGCCTCTGGCTGCATCCATGTTACTGCAAAACATGATTTCACTCTTTTGTAGGGTTGTGTCATATTCCATGGTGTATATATACCACACCACATTTTCTTTATTCAGTCCACCACTGAGAGTCACCTAGGTTGATTCCATGACTTTGCTATTGTGACTAGTGCGGCAATGAACATATGCATGAATGTATCTTTTTGGTAGAATGATTTATATTTCTTTGGGTACACACCCCGTAATGAGATGGCTAGGTCAAACGGTAGCTCTGATTTTAGTTCTTTGAGAAATCTCCAAACTGCTTTTCACAGTGGGCTGAGCTAATTTACATTTCTAACAACAGTGTATAAGTGTTCCCTTTTCTCCGCAGCCTCGCCAGTATCTGTTATTTTTTTACTTTTTACCAACAGCCATTCTGACTGATGTGACATGATGTCTCACTGTGGTTTCGATTTGCATTTCTCTGATGATCAGTGATGTGAGCTTCTTTATTTACGTTTGTTGGCTGCTTGTATGTCTTTTTTTGGGAAGTATCTGTGACTTCTTTTGCATTAATAATCTGTATAGGTTAAGTAAGAGCAATCTTCAATAGTTAACTGAATATCATATTAATGATCTGCTTCATTTTGAGTAAACTAGTGCTTCTATTCCAGAAAGTGGTATAAAAAAAACCTGGTGAATATAATATAATATAATAAATATAATACTTTCTGTATATAATGTGCCCGACTGAAAAATTTATGATTATATTTTCCAAGTAAATTACTAGATTTGCACAGCTAGGTTTAAAAGAGAAAAAGGTCAGCAAAAAAGGTGGGGTGGGTTATGGTAATTTCCATACACCACACCCCAAACTGGCAAAGGTATATCACAATTAATCATCTTATGACGTTAGAAGAGTGTCTGTTTCCACCCGAGTTACACATTGGCAGAGATATGCATGCATTGAATTCTGCTACACTTTAAACAAAGGATACAAATTGCTAAGGAAAGGACAGTCTCAGCCAGCAATATCAATTCTCAGAACCAGAAGAGAAAGTAAGATCTTTTCACATGCTTTCCGTTCTTTCCGTTGCATTTTGCATTCTTCTTATCCATTCTATTTCCTTTCCCACCCCTCCTAGGCCTCTATCGATTAAGGTTGTACTGTTCCACTGCTTTCCACCAGGGTCCAGTGGCTACATCCCTCTCCTTGTCAAAATCTGCTTTAAAGAAAGCCTCTGATAATCTTTCCCCCACTCCCCGGCCCTTGGGTAGAGCAATAATTTAAAGTATTGCCATACCCAGAAGAGTTGCATTTTAACAGGAATCAAATGCCTTGGGGTAAGAAATGAAACTCTTCTTATATAATTTCAGGCATCAGTAAGCAGATGGGACATTTATCTGAGGGGTTTTCCTAGTCTCTGGAACTCTGTGGGACTTCTCCAATCCCATCTATGTAGAAAGTTATTCCAGACATTGCTAATGTTACCATCATCTGCATCATGTTTTATACTCTAACACGTCGCTAACTTCAGAAAACTCAGCTTCCCTGTATACCAGCCTTATGCTGGACAATGTGCATCAAGTTCCCATATGAAACTCTTCTACAACTGCCTTCCCCAGATTTATTTAGACATTTCAATGCTGACCCATTTTTATTGTTTTACTGTATCTACCCTTAAATAGAAGAATCAGTGACAGGCAGGAGAGAAACATAAACTTGGGAAGGAGAAGAAAAGGAAAAAACTGGAATAACCTATAAAGAATACAACAAAACAATGTAGAGTACAGAGAACATTATCTTTCAAGCTGATTTACAGGTACCATTCAGTTCATTTAGGCTATATCACTTACGGTAGTGGATTCTTTGAATCAGATAATAGTCTCAATCTGTCACTTCCCTGTTCCTTGCATAGATAATACCTCTGAGTCATACTCCCTAGAGCATAGTTAATTGATAAAAGGGTGCTTTTAGGACACACCAAAGTCCAAAAACAAAAAAATAGCAAATCAACATCAAGGCAGCTAACTAGAAAGGAAAAGGAGAATCGTAACTGGTTGCATGATTTGATTGCTAATCTCATCATTGGGAACACCTTCATGATGATGTAACCATATTACATAGTTCTACTATGTATTGGCAGAGTCAATATGATTGTAATTGCTGAAATGAATGTATGCTGCTTCAGTTCACTTAATTAGACAGACATCCTTTGGCTGACTATAGTTTATTTGCTGTGACCACCACTGCTCTAAGTGAAAAATCTTATTTCTGGGTTAAATTCTAGACTATATCCTACCTGGCCTTTACTTCCTTTGAGTCTCTCCACTATAGTAGGCTCTACACAACAGTTACCACTTTAATCTTCCGAGAAGTGATGGCCATTGTGTCATATTCCTTTCCCCCAAATATTTTATAGTTATCTGATTTCTAAAAGATAAAGACAAAATCCTTTAGTTTATCACTCAGTACTTTGTAGTCTAAATCTACCTACTTTTCAACCTAATTTCTCATGAATCTCCTGCATTAATCCTCCACTTTATTCTGGGTTTTTACCCATTTGTCTCCCAATTCCCCTAGAATTGAGTTAAGGTGGAGTCTCACTCTGTCACCCAGGCTGGAGTACAATGGCATGGCATGGTCTCGGCTTACTGCAACCTCCACCTCCCAGGTTCAAGCAATTCTCCTGCCTCATCCTACAGAGTAGCTGGGACTACAGGCATGTGCCACCACGCCCGGCTAATTTTTGTATTTTTAGTAGAGACGGGGTTTCACTATGTTGGCCAGGCTGGTCTCGAACTCCTGACCTCATGATCCACCCGCCTTGGCCTCCCAAAGTGCTGGGATTACAGGTGTGAGCCACCGCGCCCAGCCTGATTCTGCTGCTTTCTAGTTATATGACCTTGCATAAGTTACTTGACATCTTTGTACTCAGTTTACTCATCTGTAAAATAAAATAGCTATATCTTGTATCTCCTAGAATTTTTATGAAGATTATAATTTTAAACTTGATCAATATTCAGATTAATACTTTGCTATTATGAATCATTTTAAATTTGTTATTAAATAACAAAATAAAGCAGATAGCTATTATTTCACTGAATTCTAAGTACCACGAGAGTGACTTACCGCATATATTTTGCTATATCTCCTGAATTCAGAAGAGTTCATGGCACTTTCAAGACAATAAATGCTTGTTGAATAATAATAGTAATTATTATGCATCTTATTTTGGGCTCTAATTATTATTACTCTTCTGACAGAGGCATGCATAAATGTTACAAGTGTGGCCAGAGTGATACTCTACCTAAATTGTCTACATTTACAAGCCTTGTTTTTTGAGTATATTGTATGAGAAAGTTAAAAAGTCAATGCTTCTCATTACACTAAATTCACTTTTCTGCCTCACGGACATTTGGTAAACCATGGCACCTACATATTTACACCTATAGACGTCTGTAAATTGTTTAAGTTACCCAACAATGAATAGATAATTTTAAAATAATAATACCAGGTTCATGTGTTTACTTACTTGTGACCAATTAATTAAAATTTTATATCTTGTCATCTTATAACAAATGATCACTGATCCTATGAAACAGTTTCAAAATGGGGCTTTGAATAAAGACTATTTATGACGAGTCCAGAGTGTGAACTTTACAGAGAGTAATGCTTATGTGGAGTCTTTTATTTGTGGTAAGAAATGATTTAATTTTTTAAAAAATTATCCTTGAATCCCCACTGCTCGAAATTACTTCTGTTTATGTACAGAGAGTTGAGCTAGTGGAGGAAAAGGCATATAAATTAATGGGGTCCTTTCCTCCACTTGAGTACAACAAAGCTTCAAGATCGAGGATGTGATAGGAACCACGGCCAAATAACGCTTACAAACTTTAACAATCAAACGAATCCCTCTTAGCAAGGGGAGAAAATATAAAACATGAACTGCTGCTTGACACAGAACCTGGGCTAGGAGGTGAACAGGCTGTAAAGACTTGTTCCATTGATTCAGTTACTTGGTTTTACTTTTAGAATTCAAGAAATAAGGGTATTTATCTCAAGAAAAAGGGCTCTGGTCTCCATCCCACTTCATATTTTATTTTAAATGGAGAAGTTCATATTAAGCAAATGCTTTGGAAAACAGGTAAATATGGTCAAGCCCCTAAGAGTAACTCTATGTGTTTTTCTCACCAATATGTCCTCAGTTCTAGAGCAGTTTTTGACACATAATTGGGGAATTGGTAATAATTTGTTGAATGTTTCAAGTCTTTCTTATGAAGATATCCTAGACTTTAGATAGTCAACAAATAAATAAATTGATTGACCAATTATTTACAGTTTGCTTCATTGTCTTAGCATCCTATATCGATATTTTTAATTCTCAGAACCCTTTTAAGAATTGAGATGAAAGTGTGTTGATGACCTTCTATCCCTAAATATTCCAGTGTGTATTATTAAAAATAAGAGCACTCTCCAATATCACCACTACATGAATTAGGAAATTTAACATTGCTAATGTTAAATATATAACACATTGTCTAATCCACAGTCTATATTCAAAGTCTTTAATTGTCCTAATAATTCTTTGTTTTTTGAGACAAGAGTCTCACTCTGTCACCTAGGCTGGAGTGACACCCCGTCTGCCATGGCACGACTGTGGCTCACTGCAGCCTCAAACTCCTGGGCTCAAGCCATCCTCCCACCCCAACCTTCCAAGTAGCTGGAACTACAGGCATACACCAGCACACCTGGCTAATTTTTGCAGTTTTTGGAGACATGAGGTTTCACTATGTTCCCCAGGCTGGTCTGGAACTCCTGGGCTCAAGCGATCCACCCATCTTGGCCTCTCAAAGTGCTAAGATTATAGGCGTGAACCAACATGCCTGGACAATAATATTTTTAATAAGATCCAGTCCAGAATCACACATTGCATTTAGTTTCATGAGATTTTAGTTTCATGTAGTCTTGAACAATTTCTCAGTCTTTGTCTTTCTGGGCCTTGGCGTTTTTGGAGATTGTTCAATTATTTTTGTATAAGGCACTCCGATTTCAGTTTGTCTGATGTTTCTTCATGATATGATTCAAATTATGCAGTTTTTGGGAAGAGGACAGGAATACCACAAATGTGATGTGGTGTCCTTCTCGGTATGTTATTTCAGGAGGCACTTGAATTTGGTTTGCTATTACTGATGACTTTAGTTGTAGTTGCTTGATAAATGTGCTGTCCACTCGGTTTCTCAACCATAGTCTCTATTTTCCTCTTTGTATGTATTTGTGAGAAGACACTCAGAGACTGTGAGGGGAGACTGTGAGACTAATGTGTGTTTCTGAGGGGATGCTCTAAGACTGTGCAAATATCCTCTTCTTCACCAAACTTTGAACTACTGGTTTTAGCATATTCATTGATGATTTTCTAACTCTATCACTGTATCCCAGATTATTGATTATAAGCAGAGTTTTAAAGAGATATTTTCAAGATATTTTCAACTATGTATAATGAAAAATTTAAAAAGCCATATTAGAGATAAGTGGATGCATAGATTAGAGCCACAGAGATTAGAAAAATGAACATCATTTTAACTCTGGGGGACTTTTTTTTTTTCCAGCAATGAGATTCTTTCTCTTTAGCCACGGCACCAAACTCTGAACCGGCTGAGCCTGGTTAGCCCTTGATTCATTGTATAAGTGTGAGTAAATTCCTAAATCACTTTGAACTTGATTTCTTTCTCCTTAAAAACATTATTATTATTAACAATATATATTATATAATAAAGGTATCATAATATTATATATTATTAATATATAATATTGCTGTATAACAATACTGTTGTTATATATAATAATATTGGGTCTTCCTTTATTTCCCAAGAATGAGTAAAAAAAAATCATTATGATGGACATTTGAACTCTTTGATGAAAGGTAATTTATCAAGCCCAGATCAAGTTATTAGTTCCTATTATGTCTATAAATATTCTTCTTGTTTCTGAGGGCACTATATCTCCCAAACTTTATTCTATATGAGACACCACTGCCAACTCCCATGACCTCATTTTTGGAACACGTAACAGCTCTTGCCAAAGGAGTCTGACACAAATGAAGCGTCCTCTAGCCTCAAGTCTTCCTTATTCACACTTTCTCTTTAAAAACATTTCTGATTGATGCTCAAGGCATCTATTTCACAATCTTAATTTCAATTTGCCTCACCCTTAGGTGGGACTCTCTCCTGCTGATTTTGCAAAAGTTCAACTTTTTCTATTTGCAACTACCTAGATTGGAAATGGTTAGAGACTGAGACAGTGTAACTGGCAAATTGACTCCCCACTGGGACTAACTTGGCTCAGCCTCCCAGTTCTAAGGAAGGCTCGCCACCAACTCAGGGAGCAGAAACGTTGTCTGCAAGTGGGGATTCTCCTAGCTGAGTTCTCTTTTGAGAAGATACATAGAGCATAAGTACAGACCAGTATGGAGCTATTCTGGAATAACCTTTGAATTTAATGGGAGAAATAGCCATGCTGCAAAGTACTTTCAAAGGCAGCCCTTTAGCCCCACAGACTTAACTTGTGAGATCAGCCTGTTTCTGATCATCCTTTGTAAAACACACAAGAGGAGTGACACATTGTCATTCTCTCACCTAGATATAAACCCACATCATTTACTCAAACTAGATTAATCCTCTTAACACCTCTGCAATGAGGACTGTCTGCACTCAATTGCAGAACAATTCTTGCAATTGGTTCTTGTCTCAGCAGGAAGCACATAGGAGGCCTCACGGCTAAGGCAGAAATTGTCTTCCATGCTCTGGCAGCTCATTGGTGGGATGTAACTGAATGGCCTGGTTTGATTCCAGTTTGCTTGTATTTACCTGGGTTCCCTGATTCCCTCCCAAGTACAGGCCTTGTTACTGTAACTATAGACACACTCTATCTCAATGAACTTTATTTGTCTCAACTTTTCCTTGGCAATCTGAGCTCTGGCTTCTCATGCTTACTTGTTGTGGCCAATAGCCCCAGTGCAGCAGGAGTGGAAATGCATCATATGTTGAAATAAACTGGAAATTGAAGCATTAAAACCACTCTGATTCCTATTTGGGTGACTGCCACATCCCTTTCCACCAAAGAGTTCATTGGACATCTCCGGGATATTCAGCCACTCCTATAAAACTGGCATGTTGTGAATCAAAATAGCATATTTTGCTATTTTTGCATAGCTAATGCCAGTGGTCTACAGAATGAGCTGATGACTTAAATAAATTAGTTCCTTCCAGTTCTAATTTAATTCTGTGAAAAACTCAAACTGAGGTAGTGACATCGTATCTTAGCCTAAGAAGAGATTTTTCACATGAGAAAAATCAAGCCTAAGGATTGGATAACTCATTCCAAAATGAAACAGACCATCTGGACTTAAAGTTTTGGTTTTCTGCACCTTAGTTTTACCTTTTAATGACTTTAAAAACTGAAGAATAAGAAGGAAAAGAAAAACCCCTTGGGGAAAAATGTAGTTGGTTTTAACATTGTTAGTATCAGTATTACCACCACAATTAAATCCTGTGCTCAGTGATATGGATATGTCACTTAACCCTGTTTGTCCTTGACTCAGAAGACTTGGAAGATACAGTGAAACACCTTTAGTGTTTTTCTAAAGACAAAATTTGCATTCTTTTTCTTTAGGAATATCTACATTTCCCAGTAGTACTTTGAATTTGATCATGTGCACAGATGTGATTGATGTTGATTTTGAGCATGTGTAAGCTACATACTAGGCTATGGACATATCATAAAATCAAACATGGCAAGATAGGGCTTTAGGAATTGGCCCAAGGGCTTCAGCCAGAAAATGATCTCAAGTCTCCTTAGACATTTAATACTATATATTTAATATATTTTTCTTGAATTTTAATCACAGTTGAAATTCTCTAAAAGTCTGAATTAGTTGTCTTTGATCTTTTTAGTTCAATAGATTAAAAGTCTCAAAGCATCTCTTATAACAATATAGTTTTTAAAAAGCTTTCTAAAAGTAAAGATTAATGGTATTTTTCATGATAATAAATGCATTTTAACTGCCAAAGCCGAAGCTCAAGAGTGAAATGTGAAGTTGTGCACAATTTTAGGAAGATTTGAGCATTCTTAGGAGTTGAGGATCAACTGCCCAATTTTAATGACATCTTATTTGGCTGATCTTCAGGAAAAAATGGGTTTTGGACTTTTCTTGCAATCTTTTTCCTGCTTCTCCAATCGTCAGACAACATACATACACGCAGACCTACAGACATACACACCCACAAATCAATAAGGAGTCAAGGAGAGGTTGTCTTTTCAAAATGTGACTGCATTTAACATTTTGAAAACTTTTCAAACTGGACTCAATGCAGTTGAATGCTTGAAGTGTTCAGAGAGATTTAAAGACATGTACTCCTTCCTGTTAGCCCCACACGGTTTAATGGGTGAGATGAGAGATCACCTCAAGATTATTTCCAAGCCAAGAACAGAAAAGATGAAGAAAAACAAAATCAAACAAAAATGTTAGGCCTTTTATATGCTAGATCTTTTGTATATTAGTGATCTAGCATAGCAGGGAGGTACTTTAAAAAGGAACACACAGGATATTTACTTATATCTATGTATTTATGCATTATACACATATAAAGATGATTTGTCTGTCCTACCTGAAGATTCAATCATTTTCTTCTAATTGCGGATCTAGTTACACAATCTGTCTACATTTAATTTGCTGTTAAAAATATATACTATGACAACCCAATTGCCTATCAGTGATAGACTGGATAAAGAAAATGTGGCACATACACACCATGGAATACTATGCAGCCATAAAAAAGAATGAGTTCATGTCCTTTGCAGGAACATGGATGAAACTGGAAACCATCATTCTCAGCAAACTGACACAGGAACAGAAATCCAAACACCGCATGTTCTCACTCATAACTGGGAGTTGAACAATGAGAACACGTGGACACAGGGAGGGCCTGTGTCACACACCGGGGCCTGTCAGGGGGTCGGGGGTAGGGGAGGGATAGCATTAGGAGAAATACCTAATGTAGATGACGGGATGATGGGTACAGTAAACCACCATGGCACGTGTATACCGACGTAACAAATCTGCACGTTCTGCACATGTATCCCAGAACTTAAAGTATAATAAAAATTATAATAAAATAAAGCATAATAAAAATTATATCTATACATCTATATATAGAAAGAGATATAGATAGATAGATATAAGTGCATTCTCCAGAAGGCAATTGCTTCTCCCCAAAACATGTTCTACTTCTTTTAAAGCCTCTGGTAAAACTTTTATCTAAGCCATCAGATTTAGCAATTTGTAACTGATCTAATCTCTCCACAAAATCCTTGCTTACTGAAATTGCATCCAACAGTTTCTCACTATAAACCATTCAGCTCACATAAAACTGAATGACAAACTATGTCTTTCTTCTTTTTTATTTTCATAGTCTCATGCTGTTTTTCTTTTAACCCCTCCAAATAGATAAGCTTCATCAGAAATCATAAATCATTTCAGCAATTACCAGGTATGGCATTATGAAATAGATAATCATTTAGAATTAACATAATAAACATAAAGAACCGCAATATCGGCCATCATCAGATGGAATTTAAGTAATTACAATATTCTTTTTCATTAATCCTCCAATAGAATATAAGTGTTTCTAAAGGTTTATAGGTGAGTGCCATTATCTGAAAGAGGCTTTCTTTTTATTCCTTTATTATTTAATGCATTCACTCATTCATCAAACATTGATTATTATCTAAGCACCAAATATTATGTAAGTATAGAGGATATAATGATGAACAAAAATAGGCACATGATTCATAATTGTTTAGTTTAAACATAAAATTGTCTCAATAATTAACTATGAGGCTGAATGACAAATGTCTATTACATAAACCTCTTTTGAATAGGCAATTTTGTTTGGGAAAAAAACTTATCCTTGTCTTCTCTATTAATTACTGGGTTGTCTAGCATTGTGTTTGATGCAAATTAGGTGCTCAATTAATACATATTTAATGATGAAATTTATGTTTATATTAATATAAAATCTTTGATCTTCTAGATTTTGAAATTCCACTTATTACAGTTTCTTGAGTCTCATTTTGAGCTTATAATAAAGGTCTTTATTTCACTGTGAACCCAAATTCTGGCCAGTACCTAAACTACTTCTTCACAATAAATACGTCACTATTTCTTGGGCTGCCTAAATTACATGGATTTTATTATATCTGGATTTCCATAAATCCCCACAAGTGCCTAACCTAATGGGCAGAAGGTATGGCATTTGTGAAATTGGGACCTGAGAATCCAGGTGATTCCTAACAGTAAATAAGATTAATCCCATGAAACTAGGAAAATTTGCTTAATGTATATGTTATTTGAAGTCTTGTCATACCCTGAAACAATTGGGCTTAAATGCCGGAAAATGAGAGATCAATGTGAGAAGATGAGAAGGTACTCTCCAATTTTTTGTGCCCCATAGTACTTTGCAGAAAAGGCATTTAATGGCTATCTACGGAGCAAGTGGTTGATTGACAGGTTGAATCAATTATTTTTTCCTGGGAAAGTAAATAGGAGTACTGAAAAGTGTAAAATCAGTTCTATGTTGAGATTTCCAGATGTGATTTGCAATGTCATAACTTTGACATGTGACAACAAAAGATGAGTCTGTCTTAGATAGAATCAATATACGATGATTCCCTCCTTTTCTCCTGTTCGACTCAGCTGCAAGAAAACTTGTAGTTCTCCAAGCATGACGAGGCTGGCTGACTTCTGTGCAACTTCAGTTTTTCCCTGAAGTTGTAGTTCTTTCAGAGCCCTGCTTAAGGTAGGATGGATGCCTCCCAGTGGATGGTACATATTGGATAGGTGCAGAGACTTGGTCTCTGTCTCTCTTGCCCTGAAGTTCAAGTTTTTCTGAATTAACCTATGTCCTCAGAATGCCACTTACTCCTCTGGTTACCGCTCTAAGATTCTGGCCTGGTTATTTCTTAACTAATCTAATGGCTGTCTGATGCTTCTAAAGAACATTTATGCCATTATCCTCAGCAAACTAACAGAGGAGCAGAAAACCAAACACTGTATGTTCTCTTATAAGCGGAAGCTGAGCAGTGAGAACACATGGACACAGGGAGGGAAACAACACACACTGGGGCCTGTTGGGGGCGCAGGGGGAGGGAGAGCATTAGGATAAATAGCTGATGCATGCAGGGCTTAGTACCTGGGTGATGGGTTGATAGGTGCAGCAAACCACCAGGGCACACGTTTACCTATGTAGCAAACCTGCACTTGCATCTCAGAAATTAAAATTAAAATTAAATTATATTAAAAAACTATCTAGTATCCCTTTTAGTTTTCAGTAGGAAGATTGTTGTAAACAACCTAATATGACTTATTTACAGAAACAGAAGCTGGAATTATCAATAGTGTTTTTTTATTAATGGATTTCTTTTGGATTGCACCATTCTACAACAGCCAGCATGATACTGACCACAAGACAGTCTAAGTAGAAAAATGCTACCTTAGAATTGGCTCATGTTCTAAAATTCCTATATCTTCTCTTTTAAAAAATGCCCAATAAACTACAGATTTGCAAATTTTCTTTCTATATTTATAGATAATTCCATATATGGGATATGCTAAGATATTGGGATATAACGTTTGCACAGTTTCGCATCTTTTATTACTAGTGTTCTGCCTTTTCAGTGATGTACTAAAAGATTTTGGACAAATGAATCCCCATGATATCAGCTTGATTTTGAGTGTTTAAAACAAAATCTTCTTTAAATGCTTCCTTCCTCATTCTTTCCATATTTTATGGTATTATTTTTCATTCTGAATTAGCAGCATCTTTGAATTATTCTCATTTCACCAAAGTCATCTGTTATAATGATATTATTACTTGATAAAGTACAATGTCATTTAATTAACTCCTCACCTCCTGGATAAATTTTATGTGATCACATGTATTTATTCAACCCATACTTAATGGATGCCTAATATATGCTAGGCACAATGTTAGACATTGAGAAGCAGATTAGTTGCAGAAAAATTGTTGCACAGTTGTTCTACTTTTACTGTCTCCATTACAGAATCTTTTTCATTATTTTTGAAAGGACTTTGCAGTGGAATAGCTAATATGTTATCTTCAACATGATTTCCTTTTCATGACACTCCCTAATCATTTCCCAATATTGGTAAAATGAGGACATGTGAATCAATTGTCTCTGAATTCATTTTTAAATGACTCATGGAGATAATCATCTAAATAGGAAAATATGAAGCACTTATATTTTATTTCTTCATATTAAAGGTCCCTTAAGAATACCTCTACTCAAATAAAATGCACCAGTGTTAATGTTTTCTGGAACATATTTAATTCAGTAGTAGTTTAGTTGACTTATCTCTCATCTCTATGAAATTTAATGTCTTTTCTTATTCTTCAGGACAAAACTTTTACTTGAATGCATTGTTTCAGGTGTATCAGTTGAAATACAAATAGAACTGTTGCTATATATACGACATTTATAGCATCAAAAATAAGATCCAGTTCTTCTGCATATATTAAAAAAACTGATTCAAAAATCAGTAGGTTTGGTTGAATATATGGGGACATAATAGGGTCTTGAATGTAGTTGCAGTGCTCTACTCCATATTATCTTATAATTCTGAAGTTACACATCTTTCTAAAGATGTAAGGACAATGTATTATGTACTGAATATTTATCTGAGAGCACACTGACTTAATATGTTCTTTCAAGTCTACTCTTGGAATTTCTTTCCACATTGAAATGTAAGGCTTGATTAGCGCATAGAAAGTATACATTTCGGAACATTATGCTTATTCCTACCAAATATAAAGTTTCATTATTTTTTGAAATAAAGAATTAATTATTTTAAACCCTTAGAGAAATGGGATGAGCAAAATTTTAATAGTGATCATTATTCTAGAAACATCCTATGTTAACCCAAATTTAGAACTAAGAAATATACACTTCAATAAATTATCCCCATAAGAAATTTCTCTACAAATTATAGTTTGCATCTCATGTGATCATAACATTAAGCTTGAAACTTAACAATTCTACATCATTTTTTGTACTTAAAACACCTTGGAACAGCATTAACTAATTAATCAAATTAGATAACAATTCTGTTATGAACTGAAAATTATATTGAATCATTTGCTGCAGAATATCAAGATGGCATATGTATAGATGTCATTTTTGAAGTAATGATTATAGCCATGTGCAGTAAAGTATTTATTACCTTATCTAATTAATACACATTTTGGCATGTCAGGGTTTGTGGGTAATTATAGTTTTCTATTGCGGTAATAATTTGTATGATTTATGAAGCCTATGAAACAACAATGTGAGCCAAAAAGCTGTCTGGAATAATTACAGTTAAGCAGCGTGATCAACAGGTATGCCCAGCCAAGAGAACACAGCCCTGGGGATAAGATCCTCAAACAAACAGAAGCGACTGGAGCTGTTCAGTTCTCAGCCTGCTTTTTCTCACCTGAAAAAAAATGGCCCACCCACTGTTCTCAGCTGTGTTAACAAAGCACTGATTGCTTGAGTCTATGTGGTTATTTTCCAAAGGTTCATGTGCTAATGTGGAGGACTTCATAAAAAAACAAAACAATAATCATGGATCATATAAATTTTCAATTATTTCAAGGAAGACTGAATGTCAACACAGTTAATTTGTTTAAGAATGCCAATGCCTTCTGTGGCTACCGAAAACTTTTACCTAGAATCTGAATTCATTCTACTCCAGTTGGTGATAGAACACTCTTCGCCCTGCCATACTGGCCATTCCAATAGGCTCTGAGTCTGGCATCCTTACTGAAGCGAGATACCTGGAGTCATTGTCCTAGTGGGAATATAGAATAGAGTTTGTCTCCCAAGAATTTTGCTCATATAAAGGAACTGACTGTCCAGAAACTTAAGAGTTGGAAAAGAGCCCAGCTATCATTGTCCACATTTATATAATAAATTTTAGGAAGTTGGTGAGTTGTAGGAGGTCTACAGGTTATTCTTTACTGGACATTGCTTTTGCTTTGCTAAGTCTGCTTTGACCTTCCCATCAGTCATTTTCTTTTGCTTCATATTAATATCCTCAAGGTATGTAATGTTTTAATTGGCTTTCAGCACATACACTGAAGCAGGAGATCCTATCTCACGGAAAGAAGCAGCTGTAAATTTCTGTGAACTGTTCTCAATATGAGGGGAGTTCTTAAATTAGTTTGATCTTTCTCAGAAAGACTAACACATTTATATCTTGCAGGAGTATATTGAATTTTTAGTTATTAACTCCAGGTAGAGCCAGGTTCTTACTGTCTTTTTATACTGGAAGACTAAAAGATAACATCAAATAATACTGACTGTTGAAAGCAGTGTCATAGGATATTCCACTTTAAAATTAATGCTATATTGTACAGTCAGCAATCCATAGCATGATAGCCACTTTTGTGTAAGTCGGAAAGTTATACTGCAAGAAAAGGGCAACAGCTCCACAAGTGGTCTGGAATGGAAATCAGGAATTTCTCTTGACACATTAAACTAAGCAGTCTCCTTCACTGACCCCAAATTTATCAAGGACTCGTTTTATGGTGAGTCAAGGCAAAGAAAGGAAACAGATGAGGTAGATCAAGGACACGAATTGGGGCCTGGAGAATCTGTAACTCATGCCAACCTCAACCCTTGGTGACAAATTGTCTTTGAACTGTCAAGCCTTCTCTCACAATGGGTTAATCGTCATCTAAAATGAAAATCCCTCTCTTTGACTTTGAAAATATTTGTTAGAGGAAAAAAAGTGGAATAAACACACACACACACACACACACAAATAGCAAAGAAAATTTTTTCATTCCAAACAAGAAGCTACTTTTGGTAGAAAATGTGTCATTTTTAGGAGCAGTAAAACATTAAAGATGAATATCCTTACTATTTGAATCCTAAAGTTACATTTAGGCCTTTTCTATTTTATTGGGCACAGTAGAAAGTTCAGGTCAAATGGTAACTCTAGAAAGAAACAATATCTGTGCTTTTAAATGTTTTAAGTAGAATTTTAGAGATAGATATTTAAGTAATTAAGTCCATTCTGCCCCTGGGCTTAGCATGCAGGCAACGTCCAAAATGCCCATTCCCTTGCCTCCTCGTCTCTATTCTAACGCGGCAGCTTGTCCCCTTCTCCCACACACAGAGGCAGACACACATGCTTCCTGTAGCTTCCTGTAAATGACAATGGCCCCAGTAGGTTAAAACCCTTCCAAGAAAACAAACAAACAAAAAAGGTAAAATAAAGTTCAGAAATCCAAAGGTCAAAGAGTAGAGTGAAACCAAAAGCTATGTCAGGAAATTAAGGGGAGGTTAAAAACAGGGTGAAAACATACTGTTAATCTCCATGATTACAACTTCATCTTACAGTTTGCTTCTCATCATGGATGAGGACAGTTTGGTGAAACTGAGGTTGGAATTATATATGTGTAGCATGGATGCATATATGTATATATATGCACACACACATAGAAACAAATACACTGTTGCACATGTTTAATACTGTATGAGCTTTCATGTACACCTTTGCATAAAAACTAAGATTATGCATTAAAAACATTTTACATCTTCAACGGCTTTTGCTGTCATTTCTGGGCATCACTCATGTCTTTTCCTTTTTTGGTAATTGGCTAACTTCTATTTCTTTAATATTTGCCACTTACCAAAATTGATGCTGTTATTCAAAGAATGCATTTTATGAAGATTTCAATTAAGGCTATGTGTGTATAGTAGTTCGCTTTTTCAAATTATGGGTGTCCTTACAAAATTGATTTATTAACCATACATTTTATTTTATTTTAAAATTTAATCATACACTTTAAAATAAAATAAGGTGTATGGTTAATAAATACACTTTATTTATTTATTTATTTATTTATTTATTTATTTATTTATTTTTGAGAAAGGGTCTCACTCTGTTGCCCAGGCTGGAGTGCAGTGGTGCAATCTTGGATCACAGCAACCTCGGCCTCCTGAGCTCAAGCGATCCTCCCACCTCAGCCTCCTGAGTACCTGAGACTACAGGCACATCCCACCAAACCCCAATAATTTCTTCTGCATTTTTTGTAGAGATGGGGTTTCCCCAGGTTGTCCAGGCTGGTCTCGAACTCCTGGATTCAAGACATCAGCCCACCTGAGCCTCCCAAAGTGCTGGGATTTCAAGTGTGATATTTATCATAGACTCTAAAAATATTAAAGTGACTGCTATTAAAAATATGAAGCTATTAATGTTATTTCCCAGAATCATTTACATGTGGGCAAGTCTTGTTCACCTTGTCCAGTTGTTTTTTTCCACCATTAGTTTCTTGTTCAAATGCATTATCTGATAATGTCGTTATATGAATGTACTCTTGACAAAGGCGCTAACAAAGCTGCAAATGAACACAGTTTATACCTGGTGTCGGTAGTCAACAGGCTCTGTGTTCTTCATTAAATGGTGACCAAACCGGAGGTGTTGCCGGGAATTACAGTGCCTCTTCTTTCCAGGAACTGTCTTCTTTCACCTCAAGAAGCAAAGGCTCTCTTTCATTTTGTTTTGCTCTCAAGAGCTTCTTTCACAGGGAATATAAACACACAAAAATCTTGTGTATCTTTAGACATTTTTTTTTCAATTGTCCAGAAAATTATTCTCTGAAGAGTAGCTTCCTTGCTTTGAAGATGCAGCTCTTTTGACCTTAACTCTTTTCATTACCCACTTTTTGGCAGTGACCCCCCTAAAACAAGAAAAACGATGAAGATGAACAACCTGAACTGGACTCCTGCCAAGTCCACAAACCGATTTTGCAAGTGAGATGACTCATCGCCAGAAGAATTGTAGACCTATTGACCTTAGCATTTATTTATTTTTTATATTTTGAGACAGGGTCTTGCTCTGTCACCCAGGTGGAGTGCAGAGATGCAATAATAGCTCACCTCAGCCTCCCGAGCTCAAGTGATCCTCCCACCTCAGTCTCCCCTGTAGCTGGGAACCACAGGTGCCACCACTACACCCTGCTTATTATCTTTTTAAATTTTTTTTTGTACAGATAGAGTCTCACTATATTGCCTAGGCTGACAGAGTATTTTTTTCCTTAATTATTCTTTATTCTCAAATGCAGTGAACAGTCACAGTAGCCCACCATAGGGGGTTCATTTTCAGACATTACAGTAACTAGGGGAATTTTATTAAGGAGCCAGCAGCTAAACCATTATTGTTATTATTCTTCTTCTTTAAACCAAACTACAGACTTATTCAGATTTCATCAGTCTTCCCATCAGTGCTGTCTTTCTGGTCCATGATCCAATGTAGGATTCCACATCACAGTTAGTTTTTATCACTCTATGTCCTCTCCCACTCTGTGATGGTTCCTCAGTATCTCTTTGTCTTCCAGGACCTGACACTTTTGAAGAGTATTGGACAGCTATTTTGAAGAATGTCCTGCAATTCTGCCTAATGTGTTTCAATGAATAAATGTTACACGTGCATTGTTGGCCAAGAGTACCACAGAAATGATAAGCCCTTCTTAGTGTATCAAATCAGGTAGTGTGGGATGTCAATATGTCTTATTACTGGTGATTTTAATCTTGATCACTTGGCTGAGATGGCATCTTCCAGGTGTTTCCATTTTTAAAATTACTATTTTTCCTTTAGCAATGAATGGGTATCTTGAGGGTGATAATTTTGCACTAGGCACATATAATCTTTCTCCTCAAAGTTTTACCCATGAATTTTGGCTTTCATTGGCACATCTTGCCTGCAACAATTATTACTGTGGTATCCTATTGGTGAATTCATATTTCCATCTTCTTTCTACATTTATTCATTGGGAGAGCTGTTATTTCCCATTCATTCATTCATTCATTCATCCATTTCTTTATGTCATAGACTCATAGAGGCTTATTGTATTCTCTTGGTAAAAATAATCTATTAATTTTTTTATATTATACTTTAAGTTTTAGGGTACATGTGCACAACATGCAGGTTTGTTACATATGTATACATGTGCCATGTTGGTGTGCTGCACCCATTAACTCATCATTAACATTAGGTATATCTCCCAATGCTATCCCTCCCCCCTCCCCCCACCCCACAACAGGCCCCGGTGTGTGATGTTCCCCTTCCTGTGTCCATGTGTCCTCATTGTTCAATTCCCACCTATGAGTGAGAACATGTGGTGTTTGGTGTTTTGTCCTTGCGACAGAGTATTTTTAATTTTATATTTTCTATCAGTTGGGGACAGCAATGAGGTCTGATTTGATTCTTTCTGAATTTCAGTAGCTTTATCATCTACATGTGTCTTCACAGTGTGTTTTAGAGTTCGCTTTAAAATTCTTCTTGAGATATGTTTTCTACCTCCTGACCGTAGAAGTGAAACAGCTAGATTGCAAGTCATTAAATATATCCAATAATTTTGATTCTTTAAAGCTCTTACTCAATTTTCCTCTATGTACTGCAGTTAAATTCATTGATAATCCTCATACACTGTTGATTTACCAAATTAAATAAATGATCTCACTGAGATGTGTTATAGTTTTTTGCTGCCAAATTCATGCAGAGCGCTTCTATATCATTTAATATTGAAGGTTGCTTCAACATGGACGGTAAAGTGGATAATTATGGTGATTGGACAATTCAAAGATATTAAAACACCTGTTCCACAATAATTTGAATGTGTTCCATCAAACTTTTGTTTCGGAATTTAAAACTACTTAATTATATGGTTAAATAAAATGCATTTTTATCTTTCTTTAGTGTATGATAGACTAAGTAATATGAGAAGGTGGGTAGAGTATATCTTGGAAAAACACCATTTAAAGTAAAATATTGTAAGATTTTAAAATGTTAAGATTTTAAACAATGGTCCAACCACATTAGAAAACAGCTTAGAAATTTCTTAAGTACACTTACAGTCTATATTAGCCATTTAAGTCCTAGATATTTACCCAAAAGAAATGAAAGTACATTTCCAAACAAATACTTGTGCATAAATATTTATAGAAGTTTTATTTGTAATAGCTGAAACTGGAAGCAAACTAATTGTCCATCAACAGATGAATGCACAAACAGTTGAATACTGTTTAGTGATAAAAAGAATTAATTATGATTATATACAACATTGAAGAATCTCAAAATGATTATATTGAGTGAAAGAAAATGCAAGCTAATTTGTAATGGTGGGAAGCAGATCAGTGGTTGCCTGGGGATGGGGTAGGAAGTAGTGGGAAGAGAGTTTACAAAGGGGCAGGAGGAAATTTTTGGGTGATGAGTACATTCAATAAATAATTTTGGTGACAGTTACATGGATGTATACTTATGTCAAAACATCTAATTGTATGCTTTACACATGGACAGATTTTTGCATGTTAATTTTACTTTAATAAAGTTATTTTTAAAAGGTAAACAATGGGTTTCTACCAAAAGGAAAATAAATCATTATATAAAAAAGATACCTGCACTTAGACATTTATCGCAGCACAATTCACAATAGCAAAGATGTAGAATCAACCTAAGTGTCCATTAACAGATGATTGGATAAAGAAAATGTAAATATACACCATGGAATAATTTTAGCCATACAAAGAATGAAATGATGTCTTTTGCAGCAACATGGATGGAACCATAGGCCATTATCTTAAGTAAAATAACTCAGAAACAGAAAGTCAAACACTCCATATTCTCACTTATCAGCGAGAGCTAAATAATGTGTACACATGGACATAGAGAGTGGAATAATAGACATAGAAGACTCAGACGAGTGGGAGAGTAGGAGCGGGATGAGGGATGAGTAACTGCAAAACAGGTGTTGTGTACATTATTCAAGTGATGGTTCCACTAGATGCTTGGACTTCACCAGCAATATATCCATGTAACAAAACTACACTTACATCCCTAAACTTATACAAATGTTTTAAGGTAAACATAAAGAACACTATATACCACCTATATCCTTGTATCAATAAGCAAGTTTGGGGGAAATTGAGATGAGAAGACCCATCATGACTGAAATGGGAGAGCTGATGCCTTCTTTAATGCCAAAATTGTCTTAAGATTTCTCATTGCAACCCTTCCTTCATCACAGCAAAGGTTCAGGGAGGGCAAAGGCACTCAAATTCTGAGAAATACTCTTACAGGGGAAAATAGGGATAAGATCTAAAGTTCCACTTCTTTTGATCTTGTAGATTCAACCATTCATTTATTCACTCATTCACGCAACAAGTGTTTGTCACGTGCCAACTGTGGGCCAAATATTGTATTCTCATTAGGGATAGAAATGAAATGAAAACAGATGCCTTCCTCATGGCATTTATATTATAGATAAGGGAGAAAGATATTATCAAGTACTCAAATAAATTCACAGTGATAATTATAACAAAAGTTATTCAGGAGAGCTTCAGCTTGATGTGAAACCCTGTTTAGTGATTTTACCTAATTAGGAAGAACTCAGAACCAGCCAGGATGGGAAACTCAGGAAGAATCAGTTATATATTTATATAAAATGCATATACTGCATCTTATACATGATATACAATATAACATAACATATTATTATTACATAGCATCATTGTCTTCTTGAATACAGAAAATTAAATGCAGAGATAGAGGAAGCTAACATTTGTATCTGGCAACGTAGCCTGATATGGTTTGGCTGTGTCCCCACCCAAATCTCACCTTGAATTGTAATAATCCCCATGAGTCAAGGGTGGGGCCAGGTGGAGATAACTGAATCATGGGGATGCTTTCCCCTGTACTGTTCTTGTGGTAGTGAATAAGTATAAATGGGAGTCTCCCTACACAAGTTCTTCCCTGCCTGCTGCCATGTAAGATGTAACTTTTCTTCTCATTACCATCCACCATGATTGTGAGGCCTCTCCAGCCATGTGGAACTGTGAGTCCATTTAACCTCTTTCCTTTATAAATTACTCAGTCTCAGGTATGTCTTTATCAGTAGCATGAGGACAGACTAATACATAGTCTATTAGTTATGGGTGGACTTTGAAGCAAGTCTCTCTCTCTGTCTGTTTTTTGTTTTGTTTTGTTTTGTTTTTTTGAGACAGGGTCTGGCTCTATCACCCAGCATGGCTCACTGCAGCCTCAACATGCTGGGGTCAAGCAATTATCCCACCTCAGCCTCCCAAGTAGCTAGGACTACAGAACTGTGCCACCACTGCTGACTAGTTTTTGTGCTTTTTGTAGAGACAGGGTTTTGCCATGTTGCCCCGGCTGGTCTTGAACTACTGGGCTCAAGCAATCTGCCTGCCTTGGCCTCCCAAAGTGCTGGGATTACCACTATGAGCCAATGAGCCTGGCTGAAGCCAGTTTCTTTGTGTTTGATTTCCAGATCTGCAGTTTGTTAGTTATGGGAACTTAGCAGAATCTCATTACTCTGTTAAGTCTTAGTTACTTCATCTGTAAAAGAATAATAGAATGAATAAGGTCTTAGGGATTAAATAAGAGAATGCATAGTAACATTGAATAGACACTAGCTATTATTATTACTACTATGATAAAGATCATTTGTTCATTGTACCCATGACATGTTTCATGCTTACTCTAGTCACAGACTTGGGCATATACAAAAATTAAACAATAAAACAAAACAAAACAAAAAATTGCCATGACTGAGGTTGTTGGCAGTTGCATCTCAAGCAGTTTATAGTATTAGAAAAGGAACAGACATCCATAAATAATGTGAAGAAGAAGTCCAAATTCAGTTGTTGTGGTAGAAGACAAAGGTTGCAGGACAAGCCAATAATATAATTTATTGACCCTATTGTTATCTTGTGTGTGGGAAGAGGTATTGCTCAGGGGACAATCATAAGAGTGATATGGTTTCCAAGTCACCATAAATGCCCGAGAATATGTCCTCAATCCATATGTTTATAGATAAAAGGAATTAAGTGCAATACTGATAGGATGGAGAAAATAAGAAATTTACTTTTTATCTAGGCTGTGGTGTATTACTTCTCACTTCATAGCGTGGATTAAGTTTTCTAATATTGACAACATTTTTCTATGTTTCATGTTCATTCATTTACTCATTCATTCACCAAGTATTTTAAGTGCCTATTATGCAACAGGCCCTATTCTAGAAGCTGGTCTACATGGACAGTATCTTCTCATGAGAGATGAGAATCATACATGGTATGATTGCTAGGCATGACTATGTTCTAATATAGATTTTGGAGACCAGTTAATACTTAATTTCAATTTCACATAAACATTTATTCAATCTCTATTCTCTTCCAGACACTACGTTCAGGGTGCAAAAATGAACGAGAAAAGATTATCTTGAGCCTTGTGGAGATAATTTAGTGAGAAAGCCACACTGGACAGGCAATTACAAGTGTGATGAATGTGCCACAGTTGTGAGGACAGGATGCTGTGGGAATGTACAGCCAGAGGAGTTCCCTGATCTTTGAGGTCAGAAATATGCTCACTGGTGAATGGAATTTACTCTGAGAAATGGCTTTAAAAATGAAACCAATGCTTGAACAATAGTTAGTTCCATATCTGACTCACATTTAATACTTTCCGATCTTGTTCCCCTTGCTTCCGTTGCCTGTAATGTTTGTGAACATTACTTTCTACAGTAAGAGATCTCAGGTTCCTTTCTATAGTAAGCACAACATAATATTCACCCTCCTGTTTTATTCCTTACAGCATCTAGCTCCATATAAGTTTGTTCTTATTATTGTTTAATAACGGCGATGATAGTAAAGGTGGAATAACTCATACTCAAAAGTGTTGATCAAGGATCTCAGTTAATAAGTGAGGGAGGCTGTATTTAATTAGAGTTATTTTTCCAAGTAATTTTCAATATATTATCTTTGCTATTATGGCTTATCATATAAATTTCTCAAACCTATGGTACAATATGTACATGTTTATATATATATATATGCGTACAAGCTATGGCAATTTTTTTATTTTTATTTATTTTTATTTTATTTTTTTGAGACAGAGCCTTGCTCTATCTCCCAGGCTGGAATGAGGTAGCATGATCTTGGCTCACTGCAACCTCTGCCTCCCAGGTTGAAGTGATTCTCATGCCTCAGCCTCCCGAGTAGCTGAGATTACAGGCGCCTGACACCATATGTACAAGAACACTGAATCAGATTATTTCATCAACTACATCAATAAATAATATTTAATTACTATTATTGTCCTTTGTGCCTACGATAATTTGTTACCTTTGAATAACTAAAATACTTGCAAATCAAGCAAGGGTTTTGCTTATTCCAGAAACACCTTGAAATTGCATCACTCCTCTTCTTGTTATTGTAGAAATTTTTACTTTTAAATTTTTTTTTTTTTTTTTTTTTGAGACAGCCTCTCGCTCTGTCGCCCAGGCTGGAGTGCAATGGCGTGATCTCGGCTCACTGCAACCTCCGCCTCCTGGGTTCAAGCGATTCTCCTGCCTCAGCCTCCCCAGGAGCTGGGACTACAGGCGCCTGCCACCACACCCAGCTAATTTTTATACTTTTAATAGAGACGGGGTTTCACCATGTTGGCCGGGATGGTCTCCATCTCTTGACCTTGTGATTGGCCTGCCTCGGCCTCCCAAAGTGCTGGGATTACAGGCGTGAGCCACCGCGCCCAGCATTACTTTTAAATATTAAAAAAAATCTATTTTGCCCTAGATGGCATTGTTTTATGTACCTTATAGCAAGAGTTAATATTTCTCTAAAGAAATGACAGGTCACACTTCGTAAGGAATACCTGTTTTTAAAAAATTCTTGATGTGTTGTAGTTTTAAAGGGAATATTTAAAACCAAGTATTATAAGAAACTCGAAATAGAGTTTGCATATGGATAGGCTAAGATACAAATTTAAGATTAATAATATATTTACTAAATCTATTACTATCTCTAGGCATTGTTGTAGGATTTTCCATCTATTAACATATATAATCCTCACTGCAACCTTATAAATGCTGACCCTATTGTTATCTTGTGTGTAGGAAGAGGTATTGCTGTAAGGTATGTGAAGAGGTGTATCTATGAGGAACTTTACTTAAGTTCTGATTGGTTATGAAACTTACTCCAGGTAATACAACTAGTAAATACAGGTACCGAGAGTTTAAGCTATCAGTCTGGCTTCAGAGCCCATGCTCTTAATCTGTCTGCAAAAAAAACAAAGAAAAAAAACTAACAACAACAACAACAAAAAAAACTAACCTTAAAGCTTTCATTTCTCTAATAGGTAGAAGCCACTGCTATGGTGAGGTTCAAGGAATTTACTCCTAAGCAGGCAACAAGAACAGGGACTATCCTGCAAATAGGAGATGACAACTCCTTTAAACATGATCTACTAAAGTCTCAGGAGTATTCTTAGATGGGACCCAGTGGGTTCACACCGATGGGTTAGATTTTTTAAATTACAATGCATTTTGTTTAGAAGAGGGATTAAAGTATTTGCCAAAATGATTTGTGTTGACAAAATGGCTTAGTACTTTTGGCAGATTTATTTTGGAGAATGGAATAAATTAAGGTGTCTAGCAAAAGATGTGCTACAGCCACTGAAACAATTTCAAGTATTTCAGAATCTCTATTTTTATTCACTTTGCAAAATGTGCTTAGCTGAACTGCCAGTCCCTGTTACATTTCCATTTCTAAGCAATTAATTAAAATCCCAAATCAGGTTTTTCTTGATCATGCCAGCAGGAGTCGGTTACCATGGAAATAGGAAGATCAGTAGTATTTGGAAAAGAGAGGAAAAAAATGGCTTGCATTGGTCTTTTATTGCGGAAACATAAGTGATGGTCTAGAGTAGCCTGTTGGCGCAGTCATAGGAAGCTCTGCCCCCAACAGCAAGTGTGGCAGCAATAATTGGAAATTACCAACAGTCCTGAGGATTACATTTTGCCCCCCAGGGATATCGTTGGGCCAGTTGAAAAAGTCATTAACTCAGTTTTTTCATGTCTTCTATCTATAGGTTAAACCTCCAAATGTAATTGATTACAGAGTATTCTGTTGTGGCTAAGCAGGATTTCAAATCAATAATTGGTTATATTTTGCAAAGAGCCATCAAAAACCATTTACGATTTTTTTCTGATGTCGAGCCAATATGCTTTAGCTATAAAGCCCATTTACAGACAATAGTGCAAACTAAGAATGACTGTGATTGAAGCCATACTTATTTACACTTTAGAAAATGAAAGCTTATAGGATATCATCATCTTGCAAATTCAGTGGTGTTATCCTACAGACAGTACTTTAAGAAGGAAAGTATAGTAAATACTAATATGCCTATATTAAAACAAATTATGGTTGTACTGAAAAAAAACTAAACCTTGTTAAAGACTTGATTATAACAATATAGATGATAATAATAACTTCTAACATTTGTTAAGGTTTGTATGCCAGGCATGATCCTGATGTTTTGAAAGTATAAACTTGGTGTTTCTCAACACCATGAGGAATACCGTAACATGAATAGATGCTGAGATTGTTTTGAATTGTTCAAACTTTTCCGTGAGAATAGATTCTGTGCTTTCATGTGTTGCTCATTAAACTGCCTGTGAAAGAAGATGAGTAACAGCGTTGCACCACGCGTAAGGTTATTCAGGTCCTACACAAAAACCTCTCTGTGAATTAGCTAACGCTTTTCTGAAAATCAATATGAAAGCATTCAGATATTAGGAAGAAAGAGGAAGCAAATCAGGATTTCATGTATCACTCTAGCATGAAACTCCAATGGGGAAATTAGTCTAAAATCATCCAAGAGAAGCTCCAGTCTGTATATAATGATAATAACTAGGAAAATGGGAATTTTTCACTGAAGTTTTTCCTTATTGCTATACTCAGTTGATATAATGTAACCATTTGCATCTATTAAACATTATTAGGTTTTCCTCATGTGAAAATCCTCAAGGCATATCCACATGTCTTAGCCTATGAATATTTTATGGTGATAATTATTTACGATGAGTGGCAGTATTTTTTTAGTCAATCTTTGGAAGAAAATAATAAAGCTACAAATTCCTCCAGTTTACTGTAAGAAGAATAAAAAGTTCCCAGCCACTGAGTCACCTTTGGCAGCACAAATCATATAGGTGTTTAGAATCCAGGTGCCATGTCACACACTATGTGCCAAAAAGGTTATTAGCTTTATGAATTATACCATCTTTCCAGCTAGTTCTAGCTAGGCAGCTAGAATGAATTTCAAAACGTATACACACTGTAGGAAAGGTGACATGAGGTGCTAATATCTGCTGCTATTCAATGCCATTCCTGTCAATCTAAGCTCTCCCTATATAAGTGTCTGGAAGCCTGAATCAATATTCTGTAGCTTTCCTTGCCTGTAGGAGTCTGGTTTAGATTTCCTATTATACTCTTTTAAATCCAACATAATTATCAAGTGCATACTAAATGATTAACACTGCACTATTCAGTATGGGGAGATCCAAAAAGAATGGGACCCAGCTGTTGATTTCAAGGGACATAAAACCTTATAATACTCCCTATAGCACATAACATCATGATCTGAATGCATTAAAAACTTAGGAATTCTTGTTACACTGATCTCACAATGAAGGTCTCATAAACTCTAGATAAACAGAATATGTAGATCAACATCTATTTAATTCATTTGGCAGTATCCACTGAGTCCATGTCATGTTCCAGCCACAATACTAGGTATTGGGGAATAAAAATACATGTGGGATATATTGTGTATTAGTCTGTTTTCATGCTGCTGATAAAGATATACCCGAGACTGGGCAATTTATAGGGAAAAAGAGGTTTAATGGACGCACAGTTCCATGTGGCTGACAAGGCCTCACAATCATGGCAGAAGGTGCAAGGTATGTCTTACGTGGTGGCAGGCAAGAGAGAATAAGAGCCAAGCAAAGGGGAAACCCCTTATCAAACCATCAGATCTCATGAGACTTATTCACTACCATAAGAACAGTATGGGGAAACCACCCCCATGATTCAATTATCTCCCACTGGATCCCTCCCACAACACATGGGAATTATGGGAGCTACAACTGAAGATGAGATTGGGTGGGGATGCAGCCGAACCATATCATATGGTATATTCTACATATACAGTAGTTATTAGATAGTATTTAATAACCACAGTTATTAAGCATATGATTTCTGATGCCTGGCTAGTTGACTTTAAATTCTTACTCTCCTGCTTATTTTGGAAACTAATCTCCTAAGACAGATTCTCAACAAACCATGTTTCTTAGTACACATTCTCTGTCCTGTTAGCAATGCAGGCTGGCTCTGGGCAATAAAAGATGATAGTGACTTCCTGGGCTAGGTCATAAATGTCTTGCAGCTTCCACCTGGGACTTCTTGGGACATTTTCTCTGGGAAATCCAGGTATCTCTAACATGGTCAATCACTATGACACTGCATTGCTGTGTGGAAGCCTGGACTTAGCCAAATGGAAAGCCACACAGAATAAGAGAGATGTGTCTACCAAACCCCCAGCTGTGCAAACCAACCCAGCAGAAACCCCTGACATGCAAAGGAAGTAGCCAGCATCTGTGTCCATCGCAACTAGGCCTTCAGTTGACTCAAGTTCTGGAGTAACAGGCCTACAGGCACAGGAAAGAGCCTCTTAGTCAGGTCAGGTCAATCCACACAACAGCATGGGAGAATTATAAATTATTGTTTTAGGCAATCACGTTTTGGGGGTGATTTATTGGATAGGAATAGACCCTTAGAACACTTAGACACTGTGTGAGTGTAACGAAGTTAATTTCCATTTACCTCAATTACTTTATTGAGAAGATGGGGACAGTCTATATCTCCTAGGCTTGTGGAGCCTGGACTTTAATAAGGCCTTAGCTTTTACTACCCTGTAGACCTGCACTGTTCAATATGGCAGCCACCGGCCACCTGTGCTAGTGGACATATGAAAGGTGGCTAGTCTCAGCTGAGGGTGCTATAAGTATAAAATACACAATGATAGATAATAGAAGGATGGTTCCCAGAGGCTAGAAAGGTTAGTATGGGGTGGGGGGAAGGTGGGGATGGTTAATGAGTACAAAATATTGTTAGAAAGAATGAACAATACCTAGTATTTGATAGCACCATAGAGTGACTATACTAAGAATAATTTAATTGTATGTTTTAAAATAACCTAAAGGAATATAATTGGGTGGTTTGTAACACCGAGGATAAACATGAAAAGGGATGGTTACTTCATTTTTCATGATGTGATTATTATGCATTGCATGCCTCTATCAAAATAGCACATGTACCCCATCAATATATACAACTACTATGTACCCACAGAAATTAAAAATAAAATATTTTTAAAAATACAAGAACAAACAAAATATACAATGAATTTTACATACATAGTGTGGAAAAAAGAGTGTAAAATATTGCATTAAAAATTTTAAATTGTGTTTACATATTGAAATTATAGTATCTTAAATATAGCAAGTTAAATACGGTATTTTATTACAATTCTTCGTTTTCTTCCTTGAAATGTTCTCACCAGGAAAATTTAAAACTACAAATGTGGCTTGCGTGTGTGGTCTCATTTTATTTCCATTGCACAGCACTGCTTCAGGACAACAATAGCATTAGACCAAGACTTTGTGCCTCTAAAAACTTAGTATCTCTAAAAGCATCTGCCATATAGAAGGTGCAGAATATATATATATATATATATGTACATTGTAGGTATACGTATTTATGTGGTGCATGAGATATTTTGATACAGACGTACAATGTGTAATGATCAAATCAGGGTAAATGGGATCTCCATCCCCCCAAGCATTTATCCTTTGTTATACAAACCATCCAATTACACTCTTTTAGTTAGTTAAAAATGTACAATTAAATTATCATTGACTATGATTATCTTGTTTTGCTATCAAATCCTAGATCTTATTCATTCTTCTAAATATTTTTTTTATCCGTTAACCATACCCACTCCTCCAGTCCCCACTATCCTTTCCAGCCCCTGGTAACTGTCTTTCTACTCTCTATCCCCATGAGTCCAATTCTTTTAACTTTTAGCTCCCACAAATACATGAGAACATGCAAAATTTGTCTTTCTGTGCCTGTCATATTTCATTTAACATAATGACCTCCAGTTTCATCCATGTTGTTGCAAATGACAGGGTTTCATTCTTTTTTATGGCTGAATAGTACTCCATTGCGTCTATGTACCCCATTTTCTTAATTGATTCCTCTGTTGATGGATACTTAGGTTGCTTCCAAATCTTGGCTACTGTGAATAGTGTTGCAACAAACTAGGGAGTATAGATATCTCTTTGATGTACTGATTTCCTTTCTTTTGGGTATGTATCTAGCAGTGGCAAAATAAATATTTGTTGAATAAATGAACAATGCTTGTCTACATCCAAATTAGTTTTTTCTCATATTAGTAATGTTTCCCTAACCTTCTTAAATACTTCTGTGTGATGAGCCCATACATATTGAGTCTACTCATAGATAATCCATGATTATTTGATATTCCCAGGATATAAATCTATTTGCAAATTCTAACTTAAAAAAATTTTTTTTGAGATGGAGTCTTGCTCTGTTGCCCAGGCTGGAGTGCAATGGCTCAGTGCAACCTCTGCCTCCCGGGTTCAAGCAATTCTCCTGCTTCACCTCCTGAGTAGCTGTGCCCAGTTAATTTTTTTCTATTTTTAGTAGAGAAGGGGTTTCACAATGTTGGCCAGGCTGGTCTCGAACTCCTGACCTCAGGTCATCCACCCACCTTGGACTCCCAAAGTGCTGGGATTACAGGCATGAGTCAATGTGCCCAGCCGATTTTTAAAAAGATTTTAAGGTCATCCAATTACCCTTTCACTGAAGTGTATTAAGGTAAGTTCCACGTTCACATAGTACGTATGCATGTAAAACTTGCACAAATTTCTCCAAAGTCTTGGTCGGATTTGTTTACATTTGGGAAAAATTGCTGAATAAAGACATGTTTGCATCCTTTGCAAGGACTTTAATGTAGCTCAAATAGGGTTATGTGGGGCAAAACTTCAGTGAAGTAAAAGTCAAGCAGTTATTTGTGTGTACCACATGTTTACCCCATGAAATACTGTAGCGCAATTGCCCAGCCTCCCTCCTGAGGCACCATGCCATCTATGTTGAAAAATAGAAATGAGTGTATTGTTACCTATATACACATCTCCTGTGTCCTTTGTAGGTGATATAGAATTTTTTATTGCAATTGACAACATCAAGTTAGTTTAAACAGAGAGTAGCTTTTTAAGAAGGGGATGCAGTAGATACAGGAACAGTTAGAAGCATTATAGGAATAGATTAAACCACCAGGATCTGGACAGGTGGATATAAAGGTGTCTCTGAAGAGGGACTGGAATCTCACCTTAAAGTAACCACCTTGACCCTGTCTCTCCAGCTTGGTCCCAGCTGATGTTTCTATTTTCACCGAAACATTATTATTATTAACACAATAAACATTATGTAATAAAGATATACTAATATTATATATTAGTATATAATATTGCTGTATAACAATATTCTTGTTATTATATATAGTAATATTGAGTCTTCCTTTACTTCCCAAGAATATTATGAGTAAAAAGAATCATTATGATGATGGATATTTGAACTCTGATGAAAGATAATTTATCAAGCCCAGATCAAATTATTAGTTGTAATTATGTCTATAAATATTCTTCCTGTTTCTGAGAGGACTATATCTCCCAAACTTTATTCTATGTTAGACACCACTGCCAACTCCCATGACCTGATTTTTGGAATATGTAACAGCTCTTGCCAAAGAAGTCTGACACAAATGAAGCGTCCTCTAGCCTCCAGGCTTCCTTATTCACACTTTCTCTTTAAAAACATTTCTGACTGATGTCCGAGGCATCTATTTCACAATCTTAATTTCAATTTGCCTCACCCTTAGGTGAGGCCAGAATGGGAGCCCGCATTCTATGGGGACCACAGCTTCAGATTTCCTATTGGAGAGAGAAAGGTCACTCCTCTACATGCAATTTGAAAAATCCTGGAAAATAAGCTGGCTTGAACTGTGCATCTATCGCTGGATCATCATGGTGGACCAGGATACCATTCCCACAATAAGCACTTTATTCAAAGGACCAGGGTTGAAGTAGCTCCTGAAATAATGGAGTGCAACTTGGAGAAAGGAAAGGAACAGGAGCTTGTTAGACAAAACATGACAAGTCCACTGTAGTATGCAGTAACGATCTAATCACTCAATTTTATATTTTAAAGTATGGTGGATGATATTATTGCCTAGACATAAATTCTTCCCAATTGTAACAGTTTAATAGTGGAAAAGTGGCTATACCCCTTTTACAGAGAAACACTTTTTTTTTAAATTGAAATGCTTGCATTTTAATATCCTATTTAATTTTGGATATTTACCAATGAGGAAGAGAAGCAAGGATGTTTTCTGTTCCTGACATTGGGTTTAGCAGGGCAGGAATAATGTTATCTATTAATGAGCAGAGATGTTAGCTGAAGAGGTCTGGCTATGTTCCAGTTTGGTTAATTAAATCCTACCTGCTTAAATTCTGTCTTTATTTTCAAATGAATATTCACTGCTATTTCTCATTTGAAAAATTGTTCCATGTTATGAGTTTTGGACCAGTAGCTTATTTGTGAGGCAAAGAATTTTAGTTTACTTTGAGTTCAAAATATCCTAGTTGCTGTTTAATATTATATTCTTTTTTCCATTATTATATTCTTTTTGTGTTGACTTTCACATGCTTTTCTTATGACTATCGTAATATAATGACATATTGTTTAACAATGACAGTATAACCTTTTAAAACCATTTATCTGTTTCTCGTACAAATTATACAACACCAGGACTGATGGAAGCCAAGCTTGGTCTGACCCATTAGATATGGTGCTTTTCTACACAATAATATTTGGATTAATGGATAACATCTAAAATGTCTAAAATGAGCATGTTGCTAATTGAGAAAAGATCAAATCAAAATTAAATTATCTCTAATCAGGGATTATTTTGTGAGACCCTACCCTATTTCATGGACTCCTTTGTACAATATGCTAAATTGATACAGTGCAATTGAAGTAAAAGATATGTTACAACTTATTTTTCTAAATTTTTATTGAAAAGTAAGACTCTGGGGTGTGAGTTTGTGTGTGTGTGTGTGTGTGCACGCATGTGTGTTTGCTAAACAGAGGCCATATGATCTAATGAGTAATTATAGTAACAAGTTTTAGGAAGAAATTGTGAAGCTGAGACTAGAATTAATTTATCTGTAAATATTTTTTGTTTGTTAAAATTTTGTTCTTTTAACTATAAAAGCAATATATACATTTTCTACCTACCCTCCTGAAATTAGAAAGAACAGTGACATTTAAAAAAGAAAATAAAGATCATGTTATCTCACCATTCAGGGATAACCACTTTTGCCTCCACTTTGATGTATGTATAATTTTCCTATATTTCTTCTTCTTCCTTTCCTTTCTTCCTATTTTTTCGCATACATGCACACACATACATATGCATTATTTTCAAACATGAAGGAACCCAGTGCAATAGGCTTTATAAACCTTTTACATTTAACAGTCAACTTTGTGGCAATAAACATTCATTAACCACAATATTCTTAACTAATTAATGTATTCATTTCTTTCTCAAGCACTGTCTATAATATTCCTGTTGTGTGTCGCGTATTGTTCTAGACATGGCAGATACCTAGATAGGCAGGAGGTAATTGCTCCCGGGGAGCTTGTATTCTAGTGATAAATTAAACACAATAAATACACCCACAAATAAGAAAATATCAGATGTTGATTCATGTAAGGCAGAAAAATAATTTAAAGTGATGGAATAGAGAATGATTGGTTTGACTGGTCCAAAAAAAATCTCTGAATCCATAATATTTGAATTGTAAGATTTGAATGACAAGAAAAAAGAATTATGTTGGCAGATCGTATGTGTGAAATGAGACAGAGAGAACATTGAGGTGAAACGTCCCAAGGCCTTGGAATGTTGGCGTAACAGGAAAAAGGGTGTGGAGTGGGTGGAGGGAGTATTGCATATAAAGGGATGAAAGATTTTTAGGTGCCAAAATTTGTGAGGTTTTGAATCCCAAGTAAACAAATTTAGAGCTTATCTTTGGTGTTATAGGAAGTTATACAAGTGCCATGCCCTTTGCCTGTTTTATTTATTTATTTAGAGACAGGCTCTCACTCTGTCTGTTGCCCAGGCTGGAATGCAATGGCACGATCATGGCTCACTGCAGCCTCGAACTCCTGCGCTCAAATGATCCTCCCGCCTCAGCCTCCTGAGTAGCTAGGACTACAGGTAAGCACCACCACTCCTGGCTAATAATAATAATAATAATTTTAGAAGCTGAAGTCTTGCTGTGTTACTCAAGCTGGTCTCAAACTCCTGGCCTCAAGTGATCCTCCTGCCTCAGCCTCCTGAAACGCTGGGATTACAGATACGAGCCACAGCGCCCAGCAAGTGCTATGTTTTGATTAATATTTTTAAAGAAAGATCATTCTGGCTTCTGGGTGCAGATTTTACTAGACAGAGGCTGGAGGAGAAGCACAGAGATCAGGTAGCAGGCTCTTGCAGTGGCCAGGGCAGAGATCATAGGTTCCTGGACTGTGAAAACTGTTGGGGAGACAGGCAGGCTCACAGTAGGTATTGGAGAATGATGAAACAGGGTCTGCCAATGGCTGGGAATTGGGGTGGTATCTGAGGAAATGAGAAAAATTAATATCAGCTCTAGATCAACACAGTCCAATAGAAAAAGATGTAAGGCACATATGTAATTTGTTTTCTAGTAGCCAGTTTAAAAAAGTAAAAGGAACAAGAGAAATTAATTTTAATGATGTACTTTATTCATCATACTCAAAATATTATTCCAATATGTAATTAATAAAAATATTAATAAGCTATGCTACATTCTTTTAAATTTTTTTTGTGCTAACCCTTTGAAACCTGGTTTGTGTTTTACACTTACAACACATCTTAATTCGGGTGAACCACACACATTTCAAGGGCTCAAGAGCCATGTGTGTTTAGTGGTCAGCATATTAAACAACATCACTGTAGATATTTGGCCTCACGATTGGAAGAACAGTGGTATCTGTTCCTGAAATAGAAGAAAAGTAGAAGAAGAACAGAATTGTAGAGGCTGGGATCAAGAATTTTATTTTAAGCCTAAGAGGTTTGTGATGCATGTTAGACATCCATATTGAGTTGAGAGTTAACAGTTGAACCTATTTAATAGCTTATTAGTATTCAGTTAAATAGATGTAACGTAATTTGTATTAACAGCCCTTTACCTCAGGAATATTTTAAATACTAAGCTTTTATAAAATATGGTACAATGTAATCTCATGTACTTGTAGCTTTGTTTACTTTCTGAAATCTTCAAATAATTATTTCTAGAAGTGGAAATTATGGGTCTTAGTATACTCCAACCTTAAAGGCTTTTGAAATATTGGCCGATTTTTCTGCAAAAATATTAGATGCATTTATTTTTTATTAGCAGTATATGACAAAGCTATATCTTGTATATTCTCACTATGACTGAGTATGATGAGGTTTTAAATACACATAATGTCTTAAAAAGCCCATCTCTAATGACGAGTTTTTGACATGGTGCTAGTAAAACACAATGAACAGAAAAGAGTCATTCTAGTAAGAAGCTCTGAGTCTAGTGAGGGAAGCTTTATTAGAAGGATGTACAGTGGTAACTCAAATACATGGCTTTTTGTTTGTTTTAATTCTTTAACTTTTTTTTCTTCAAGCAAACATTAGCTATCAACAGCAACAATTTCATAGACAAAAACTGATGGAATTCGCTTGGTTTATGTAGACTGAATCGTATCTATAAAAACATATTTTAAATCATTAAAAGTGTGAGATGTTTGCCTTCTAAAATGACCTTTCTCAATTTAAAAAGCTGTGAATGTAAACTGATCTATAAATTATTCTTTTCAAATATATGACCATTTTTTGTAAACATAGAGGTCTATTTGTATTATACCTGTGTTTACCCGTGGCATTTCATTTGCGATTATGTTTTTCCTCAATTCAAATTTAATGCAAAAGACATTCATTAAAACTGACATTAATACTCCCTCTTCAAATTTAGCAAGTCATGATCTCCAAGGGTTGAGATTGTGAGAGCTGTTGTGTTCATTTATTCATTATACAAATACATATTATCCTGAAAGTGGGTACAGAGTAATCAGTTTTGAACACAGAACATGCACTATCTCTAAAACCTGGAAGCTTAGGTGCTGGTAGGGAGACAGATATTCACAAGATAATTATATAAGTAAATATGAAATATCAAATTTGTTATGTGGCATAACAAATAAATCCATGGTAATATAAAAGCCTAAAATAGAAGAATTTGATCTATTCAAAAACATCAGGAAAGACATCCCAAAGAAGACAACTGACCCAAAGATTACTGATGAGTGGGAATTTACTAGACAGGAAGGAAAACAGAAAGACATAGAAAGGTCAATGTAACTTGGATGGGAAGAGCAAGGGCAATTCGTGACAGCTGAGTCCACCGATGTGGAAGATATATCATACTAGATGTCTGGGCTATAGAGGATGCAATGGGACTTACATATTTATTCTAAAAGCAAGAGACAGCTTTGAATTTTTCCATCAGGAATGTTTCAAGATCAGATTTGACATTGAGAAGATCCTTTTGAATGCAATGTAAAGAACAGATTGGAAGGATTAAGAAAGAATATCAGCAGGTCATTTAGGAGAAAAGTCACAATAGTCCAAAGGGAAGGTGATGCCGAACTTGGATTCAAATGAAGATTGGGATTGGTGGGAGAGAGGGAAAGAAATGAATTTCTTAGAAAGGTAACTCTGCTGGATCTAACAACACATTGGATATGGGGTCCAAGCTTAACTTTTAGATTCTGCTTCATGTTGCTGGATGCATGGTGATAAGATAGGGATATGTGGAGGTGTCTATAAGCTCACTTCCAATATGCCTTTTGTTTAAGCATCTATGAGATCTTTAAAGAAAGGTCCTTAAAGACACTTTGGTAAGAGATACCTAGACATGACAGATGATATATTCATGCAATAAGAAAGCATCGAAGATGGGATTTTCTCAAAGTGAGGGTGGATCAATAGTACAATAATGTTTATAAAGCACCTCTTTTCTCGAATAAGGAAGGTGGCAATGTGTCAGGGTAATAAAGAAATCAAGCATGAGGCCACTTATTCAGCTTACATACAGAATAAGGAGGCAGGGCTGATAGATGACAGCTAGATAGATGGATAGATAGCTAGGTAGGTAGATAGGTAGTTAGGTAGTTAGGTAGTTAGGCAGATAGATAGATAACATTATACCTGTTTTATCTATAATGCCACAGCACTTTTACTCATATAGTCAACACTCAATAGGAATTGAGTGAAAAAAGGATGATGATCAATATACATATATATGCATATACATGCAGGAACTCTATTTTGAAGACTGGAGACTAATAAAGTTGAATTTTTGGATTTAAGTGTAATGCTAGATATTCTAGTATAGTAGTTTCATTTATTAGTGTGTCCAAAGTAATTTGAATGTGTCAGGATCTTAAAATTCAGCTTATGAGCCAATGTATTAGTTTTCTAGATCAGCTTAAGCAACACAGGAGCCTAAACAACAGAAATTTATTGTGTCTCATAGTTCTAGACGTCAGAAGTCCAGAACCAAGGTGTCCTGTTTCCTTGTGAGGGAAGGATTGATTCCCTCCAAGGGCTGTGAGGTAGGGCCTGTTCCAGGCCTCTCTCCGTGGCTGGTAGTCAGCTGTCTTCTCCCTGTGTCTTTCCACATTGTCTTCCCCCTACATGTGTCTCAGTATCCAAAATTTCCCTTTTAATGAGGGCGCCAGTCATATTGGATTAGGGTCAACCCCGATGACCCCATTTTGATCATATCCATAAAAACCTTATCTCCAAAATCAGGTCATGTTCTGAGGTACTGGGAATTAAGACTTAAACCTGTAAGTTTTAGGAAGATACAACTCAATTTATAACAGCCAGGGGCCAAGCACAGTGGCTCACGCCTGTAATCCCAGCACTTTGGGAGGCCAAGGTGGGTGGGTCACTTGACATCAGGAGTTTGAGGCCAGCCTGGCCAACATGGTGAAACCCCATCTCTACTAAAAATACAAAAATTAGCAGGGCATGGTAGCAGGCGCCTGTAATCCCAGTTACTTGGGAGCCTGAGGCAGGAGAATCGCTTGAACCCCAGGAGGCGGAGGTTGCAGTGAGCTGAGATTGGGCCACTGCATTCCAGCCTGGAGGACAAGAGTGAGACTCCATCTTAAAATAAAATAAAATAAAAACAAATCTATGTAGGCCTATTTTTATGGATATGTATGTGGTTATGAGCATGTATGCATATACATGCAAATGTGTGTACATTTATGTGTATACCTATATACAAATATGTCTATATATATGATATTTTTCATTATGTATTTTTTTCTTGGAAAACCTGTAAGAAATAAATGAAAATGCCAGAATAATAACATTGTATATTTTCATACTGCTTTAAAATTTAGAAGGTCATTGTATGATTGAATCCTCACCATACTACATTTGCATATGTCTATATATTTAATATAGGTGTTTCTTATGCTCTAGTGTAGAAAACCTATAGATAAGCTCTTCCAAATTAATTCATTGATCAACTGCCATCTGAAAAAAGGCTCTGGCACCCCAAATTAGAAAATGGTAAGGATTAGGTACCTCTCTCCTGGGCAGGTGGCTGCATGTCCAGTGAAAGTTTGTTCAAAATGGTTGGATGCCATAGTGACAAACACTTTGATCATTTCTAGAGAATCTCATTAGAAACTGCACACTGTAGTAGTACAAGCAGGAAAGCTAGCACCAGAAACAATTTTGAAAAATAGCTGCTGTTACAGTTTCCTCCCTGAGAGTAAAAGCAAAACTGAATTTTCACAGCAGTTGATAATACCGAATAATGCTTCAAATATCTCTTGACAATCACATCTCATTTTTAAATTTTCTTTCTTTCTTTCCTTTTTCTTTCTTTTCTTTCTTTCTCCTTCCCTCCCTCCCTTCCTTCCTTCCTTCTTTTTCCTTTCTTCTTTCTTTCTTTTCTCTTTCTTTCTTTCTCTTTCCTTCCTTCCTTCTTTCTTTCTTTCTTTCTTTTCTTTCTTCTTTCTTTCTCCTTCCTTCCTTCCTTTCTCTCTCTTTCTTTCTTTCTTTCCTTTTTTTTTTTTGACAGTCTCATTCTGTTGCCCAGGCTGGAGTGCAGTGGCGAGACCATGGCTCACTGCAACCTCTGCCTCCTGGGTTCAAGTGATTCTCCTGCCTCAGCCTCCCGAGTAGCTGGTATTACAGGCATGCACCACCACACCCGGCTACTAATTTTTGTATTTTTAGTACAGACGAGGTTTCACCATGTTGGCCAGGATGGTCTCAATTTCCTGACCTCCTGATCCTCCCACCTCGGCCTCCCAAAGTGCTGGGATTACAGGCCTGAGCCACCGCACCCAGCGTATTTTGGTTGTTGGTTTTTACAGAAATTTGCTTCTTTTTACAGCTTCAGTGAGATAAAACTTATATACTATAAAATTCATCCATTTATAAGGATGGTAGTTTCCCCTTATCCTGGAAGGATATGGTTCAAGAACCCCAGGAGAGGATGACTGAAACCATGCATACCATGCATAGTATTGAACCCCAGGTCTACTATGTTTTCCCATACATATGTACCTAGGAAAAAATTTAATTTGTACATTAAGTGCAGTAAGAGGTTAACAGTAACTACTAATAAAATAGAACATGTATAACAACCTATTATAAAAAAATTATGTGAATGTGGCCTCTCTCTTTCTCTCTCAAAATGTCTTATGGTATTGTACCGTGGGTAACAGAAAGGATGGAAAGCAAAACCATGGACAAAGGAGGAATACTATATACAGTTCAATGATTTTTGGCAAATTTACAGTTTCGTAGCCATCCCCACAACTTTACAAGACTTCTATCACTCCACAAATTTCTATCCAGCTGCCTTTTAATCAATCCCACTCTCACCTTCCACCCCTGGAAACCATTGATCTGCTTTCTGTCCCTATAGATGTGTCTTTCCTAGAAATTTTGAATAAATAGGACCACAAAATATGTAGTCTTTTTGACTGGATTATTTTTTAGTTTTATCCATGTTGTTGACTGTTTCAATAGTTCATTCCTTTTTATTGATGAATATCATTCCACACTATGGACATTTCACATCTTGTCTGTTGATTAGTGATTGAGATTTGGATTATTTTCAGTTTGGGGTCATAATCAATAATTCTGCAGTGAATACTCACAAATAAAGTTTAGGTGTATGCTTCATTTATCTTGAGTTGATTTCTAGGAGTGGAATTTTGAGATTGTATGTAACTACATTTCTAAATTTTAAAGAAATTGCCAAGTTGTTTTTATGATTTTACAACCCCACCAACAATGTATGAGAATTCGAGTTTCATCACATCCCCACAAATACTTGCTATTATTAGACTTTTTAATTATAGTCATTTCAGTGGATGTACGCTAGTACCTTGTGATTTTAATTTGTGCTCCTCTAATTTCTAATGATGTTGAGCATCTTTTCACATGCTTATTAGCCATTTGCATAACTTATTTGGCTAAATGGCTACACAACTCCTTTGGTCATTTTTGAATGGTGTTACTTGCCTTATTTGTTGGTCATAAAATTTCTCTATATATTCTAGATGCTGTTTTTTGATTTCTTTTTAAATTAGATGTATAAAACTTTTTTAAATCCCAGTCTGTGACTTACCTTTTCATTGCCTTATCAGTGTCTTTTAAAGCATAAGAATTTTTTTTCTAGACATGCAAGAGGAAAAAAATTTAAAACAATAAAGCATAAGAGTGTATAATTTCCTTGAAGTTTAACTTATCATTTTTTCTTTTGTATATTGTGTGCTTGATTTCTATTTTATTTTCTTCTAAAAGTTTTATAGCTTTAGCTCTTACATTTAAGTCTCTGATCCATTTTCCAGTCAATGTTTGTGTATAGTGTGAGTAGGGTTCAAGTCTATTTTTTATAGATCCAATTCTTCTAACACTATTTGTTAAAAAAAATAACCATCTTTCCCCCCAGTGAATGATTTAGTGCTGTTTGGAAACTCCATTGCCTATCAAAGCAGAAGTTAATTTCTATTCTTTTAATTCTGCGCCATTGATAAGCATGTCTGTTTTTACACCAATGCCACACTATCTTGATCGTTGTAACTTCATATTAGCATTTGAAGTTGGTGGTGTATTTCCTCCAACTTTGTTATTAATTTTCAAAATCATAAATGTTAGTAATATTATTCTACATCAGACAGTGGCTTGATATATTACATGCATCATTTCATTTTATATTCTCAACAGAATTATAAGATAAGTATTATAAGTTTACAGAGTCAACTGAAATTTAGAGAAACCAGAACTTCTAATCTGCCTGGTGGTAATAAGGCATCAACAGAAGGTGTGAGGGGACCTGTACTCACACCTACAGCTGGTAGTAATGACGTGCTGTCCTCTTTATCCAGGTGAGGAGTTATGAAAGGAGGAGAGCAAAAAGAGAAGGTTTAAACAAGACCCAGAGTCTCATAACATGATAGTCAAAATCCTCAGATTTCAATATAAAACCATTCATCATATCAAGAACCAAGAAAATTTCAAATAGAGTAAAAAAGATAATTATTAAATGCCAACAGCAAAATGACAAGAAATGTTAGAATTACTTGCAAAGATGTTATAGCAATGATCATAAAAATTCTTTAATGAGAAACTACGAACATACAACATACATCAATAACAGAAGAGAGAGTCTCAGCAAAAAGAAAAAGATTTAAAAAAAGAAAGTCTGAAAATGAAATTGAAGATATAAAGAAGAACCAAAGGAACATTTTGAAAAATATAATAACCAAAATCAAATACTCAATAGATGGGCTTAATAGCAGAATGGATGAAGCAGAATGAAGAATTAGTGGACTTGAAAATGGAACAAGAGGACTTACCCAATCTGAACAGCAGAGAGAAAATAGACTGAGAAAAAAATTAACAAAGCTTTAGGGGTATGTGGGCTTATAACAAAATTCTACCACTCATTGTATTAGAGACCTGGAATAAGAGAATAAAGGGCAAGGATTAACATGTACTTCAAGAATGAGTTACTAAAAACTTCCCAAATTTGTAAAGAAAAATAAACTCACAGATTCAAAAAGAAGAAGCTGGATATATCTCAAGCAAGATAACCCCAAAGAAATCCACCACAAGAAACATCATAGACAAAATTTTTTAACTACAAAGAATATAATTTTGAAAACAGCAAGAGAGAAACAATACTTTACTCATAGAGAAAAAACAATTTAAATGACAATGGATTTCTTATAAGAAACCATAGAGGCCAGAAGGAAGTGACACAACATACTTCACGTATCTAAAGAGGGACCGTTAAGTCAGAATAGTATATCTAAGTGAAAAGATCTTTCAGGGATGAATGCAAAATCAAGACTCAGATGAAAAAAAAGTAAGAGAATTTGCAACCAGAAACCTAAAGAATTTGTCATCTACTCTAAAAGAACTGCTAAAGTCAATACTCTTAACAAAGAAAATGATAAACGAAGGAATCTTGTGACATCAGGAAAGAAGAAAGAAGAAGACAATCTAAGTTATGAGTAAACACAATACACAATACATTTTTCTTCTCTTTTTGAGTCTTCCAAATTATGTTTAACAGTTAAAAATTAGAACACTGATGTGATTCTAAATTAATGTAGATAAAATATCTAAGACAATTACATCATAAACAGGGTAAGATAAAGGAATATAAAGGGAGATATTTGTTCTATACTTCACTTGAACAAGTAACATTATAACACTGTACATAAAAACACTATAAATAAATTTAAAAATAGTAAAAATGTTTGAGTAAGTCACAGGAAGACAGGAAAAATGAAGCAGAAATGAGAAAACTAGAACAGACAAAAAATAAAATAGCAAATTTAAGCCCCATCATATCAACAAATATATTAAATGTAAGTAATCTAAATGGACCAATAAGTCTGAGATCAGCAGAGTGGATTAACAAACATGACCCAACTATGTACTGAATGTTAGAAACCAACTTAATATATAATGATATGAGCTTGTCAAAAGTAAATGATGGAAAAATATATATCATGCACATATTAATAAAAATAAAAGATGAACAGCTATGTTAATGTTAGATAAAATAAAGTTCAGAGCAAAGAATAGTATCAGAGACAGACATTATGATAAAACAGACCAATCCACCAATAAGATATAACAATCCTAAATGTATATGCACCAAACAACGCATTTGGCAAGCAAAATATGTGAAGCAAAAACTGACAGAAATGAAATGAGAAATAGACACATCCACATTCACAGTTAGAGATTTCAACATCCTTCTTTCAAAAATTGATGGAACTAGACAAATAATCAGAAGGATATGAAACTCAATAATACCATTCAAGAACAGATATAATCAACATTTTTAGAACACTCTATGCAAGAATAGCAGAATATGCTTTTTTTAAAGCAACGATGGAATGTATACCAAGATAGACTACATTTTTGCCATAAAACAAACCTCAATAATTTTTTTGTTGCTTTATTTTATTTTGTTTTTATTTTTCCTTTTATTTTGGAATCAAGGGGTGCATATGCAGGTTTGTTACAAAGTTACATTGCTTGATGCTGAGGTTTAGGGTATGACTGAACCTGTCACCCAGGTAGTGAGCATAGTACCCAATAGTAAGTTCTTCAGCTGTTGTCCCCCTCCCTCTCTCCTCCCTCTATTAGTCTCCAGTACCTATTTTTCCCATCTTTATATTCATGAACACCCAATGTTTAGCTCCAATTTATAAGTGAGAACATGCAGTATTTGCTTTCCTGTTTCTGTATTAGTTCACTTAGGATAACGGCCTCCACTGTATCTGTGCTGCTGTAAAGGACATGCTTTTATTCTTTTTTATGGCTGCATAGTATTCCATGGCATATATGTACCACATTTTCTTTATTTAACCCACCACTGATGGGCACCTAGGTTAATTCCATGTCTTTGCTATTGTGAACAGTGATGCAATGAGCATACAAGTGTATGTGTCCTTTTGGTAGAACAATTTATTTTCCTTTGGCTACATATTTAGTAACAGGATTGCCAGCTTGAATGCTACTTCAACTCTTCATTCTTTGAGAAATTTCCCAACTGCTTTCCACAGTGGTTGAATTAATTTACATTCCAAACAACAATGCGTTAAGTGTTCACTTTTCTTTGCAACTTCACACCAATATCTATTTTTTTTGGCTTTTCAATGAAAGTCATTTAAAAGTTGAAATCAAAGCATGTTTTCTGACCATGATCAAATCAAACTAGAAATTAATGACAAGAAAATTACAGGAAAATCTCTAAACCCTTGAAATGAAACATCCTATTTCTAAATAATCCATGGGTCAAAAAGAAAGCCTCAAGGTAAACAAAACTAGATAGAGCTGAATGAAAATTACAGTTCAACATATCAAAATTTGTGGACAAAACTCAAGCAGTGCTGAGAAGAAAACTTATATCACAAATGCCAATATTAGAAAAGAAGAAAAGTCTCAAATCCATAATCACAATTCTCATCTGAAGAAACTAGAAAAAAAGAAGAGTACCTTGAACCCAAATCAAGCCAAAAGAAGGATAAAAGGGAGAGCAAAACTCAATGAAATTGAAAACATAAAAACAATGGAGAAAATTGGTGAAAAAAAACTTTTTTTTTTAAAAAGTCAATAAAATTGACAAATCTCAATTTTGTAATTAAGTAAGACTGACAGAGAAAAGAAGAGAGAAAAGATACACATTTCCAATACCTGGAATGAGTCAAGGATATCACTACAGACCCTGAAAACATAAAAATAATCATCAGGAAATACTAAAACAATTTTGCACAAGTAAACTTGACAGCTTATATGAAATAGATTGATTCACCAAAAAAACATAAACTACTACAACTCATCAAACACAAAATATATCAATTAAGTGCCTCATAACTATCATGAAATCTGCATTCATAATTTGCATCAGTAATTTGTAATTCATAACTCCTAAAAGGGAAATCTCAATTCCCAGATGGTTACAATGGATCATTATATTGAACAGTTAATATTAATTTTTCACAGCATCTTTCAGAAAATAGAGAGGAGAAGGTAATACACTGGCATTCATTTTATGAAGCTGTATTACCCCAACACTAAAACTGGACAAAACTAGTACAGAAATAAAAAGAAAATTAAAGACAAATATCTCTCACAAACGTAGATGCAAACATCCTTATCATTAGCAGATAGAATTCAGCAATATATAAAAATAATTTACACCACAACCAAGTGGGGTTTATTCCAGGAATATAGGGCCAGATTAGTATTTGAAAATCAATCAATCTTATTAACAGGCTAAAAGAGAAAAAAATCACAGGATCTTCTCAATTGCAGCCTTGACCTCCCAGGCTCAAGCAATCCTCCCACCTCAGCCTCCATAGTAGCTGAGACCACAGGTGCAAGCCACCATGCCCAGCTAATTTGTTGTTAATTTTTTGTAGAGACAGGTCACACCATGTTGCCCAGGCTGGTCTTTAGCTCCTGGTCTCAAGTGATTCTCCTACTTCAGCCTCCTAAAGTGCTGGGATTACAGGTGTGAACCCACCATGCTCAGCCTCAGAAATTTACCCATATATAATTTTTAAAACTTCTAGAGAAATGGGAATAGAGGAAAACTTCCTCAACTTGATAAGAAACATTGCAAAAACAAACAAAATTGCAGCAAACATTATATATAATGGTGAAAAACTGAAGACTTCTCTCAAGATTGGGAACAAAACAAGAATGTTTGCTCCCACTATTCTTAGTCAACATTGTGACAGAAGTGCTAGCCAGTGCAATAAGGCAAGAAACAAAACTAAAACGCGTACGAGTCAGAAAGAAAGAAATTTTGCTGGTGACATGTTTGTTTAAATAGAAACACTTAACAATGTTAACATTGCTGGGGACCTGGCTAGAGTATACAACAACTCTCTCTCTGTTATTTCTTACAACTGCATGTGAACCCACAATTATCTTAAAAGGTCTAATTTAAAAAAATATATTCAGGCAACATTAACATATGTAACTAACCGGCAAATTGTGCACATGTACCCTAAAACTTAAAGTATAATAATAATAATAAAAAAATAAAATAAAATAAAATACACCTATACTACTGGAAAAAAAATATTGCAAAGCATGGCATTTAATAGTTCAAAATAACTTCTGTGTTATATTCTATTTTCAACTAGAGGCCTTGTGCAGATATATCATGGAATTGTCATTTTTATTTATTAGGTTGAAGTTGTACTTGGCATTGAGAAGAATTTAGCAATGCAAAAAAATAGTGCTTGTTTATCTACCCTTAGCCTAGAAAGAGGCAATCATGTAAACTGAAATGTAAGAGCATTTCCCTTTATCTTTTTGTCTTGCTTACTGTTTATTGTTTTTATTGGTTTGAACTTATTGTTAGGTTTTTATATAATACTTGTTTATTATGAAAATTTCAGAAGCAATTATTGTTATCCTTGGGAAAGCATAATAGATTTATTTTTGATATATGAAATGAAGGGACAAGAAAATACATACTTTTTAAAATTAAAATGGCACTGCATAGACATAGTTTCCAACTAAAATTTTAAAAGATATTCTATAAGTATCATTTTTTAAATACTATTAAAAATATATTTAGATAGCGACCTCCAGGGGCCATAGCAATGCATCTTGTACTGGAATTTTCTTTTTGCAGTAAACAAAGAACAACAAGAATAATATAGGAGGCAATTCTTTTTAAGGATTGTACAATAGGCTGAGCAGAACTATGATCCTTGAGAAAAGGAAAATATTAAGATGAGTCCAGATTCACTGCAGACTTTGAGCTAGGGAGGTGGAGTCCAAACAATGCAGTGGTCTCCCTTAGTTAAGGAGCTGTGTGTAGGGGGTGAATGTCCCCCATAGGCTCTTCTCTGAGGGCTGAATGTAAGGTAATTCCCATGAGCCCAAGCAGGGATGTCTACTGTGATCCTCAGCTTCACTGAGATACGAGGTATTGCATGACATAGGGAGAAGTTAGAGATGAGCTCAGAAGGAAAGGAGCTAACTTACTAGATATTTCACATTCAGTTGAGATATCAGAGGAGCCATGCTTTATGGGTAAGTGCCATACTCTAGGGAAGGCTCCTCATTAAGACTAGGGACTAAACAAAATTTAATTCATCTTAGCAAATAATACAACCAAATCTAACAGGACCAAACATTCTAGCAGTAATTTAACTGTTGACATATCAAAACCTAACACCTTTTAGGGAAAATAACATAATCCAGCGTCCCTAATTAAACATCCACAAATACAAGCATATAACAAAAAGTTACTAGACATGGGAATAAGGAAGAAAAATGTGACACATAATCAATTTAAAAAGCAGGTAGTATTGTAGTAAAAGCAGGTTGAATTGACTTAAAGAAACCAACCATCTTTAGGATGTTGAATTTTTCCCCTTAAAGAATAGTATCACTTTTCATTTGTTCAAGGTGTCGTGTGCCAATCATTCCCTTCAAACAGATTTCTGTGTCTCCCACCCCAACATGGCTTATTTTATTTTGTTTTGTTTTATTTTACGTTTTGCTTTAGTTAATGATTGCTTTCTTAAAACCTTCTAACTGACAGTTGGTTTGGTTTCTTGCCTTTTCTTAAAGGGGATAGGAAATGCTATTGAGTTTTCTATATTAATTTTATGGCCTTCTGTTTATTGAATCACAATACTGTCTGAAATTACTTTTTAGTTATTCCTCTTATATTTTCCAGGTATAGTATATTTCTGAAGATAGTCATAGTGTTTATTTATCCTGCTCAATATTTGTAACTCTTTTTCTTATCAAATACTTTTAACTGAAAATGCCAATGGGGTCTCTTCTTTTGTTACTTTCTGTAGGTGTACATGATGCCGGCCTTTTGGTAGTCTTCTCCATTTGCCTCTTCAGTGGCTGAATTTAATCACCAAGTAGGTCTTTTCTCTTCCACTTTAACAGGGGATCCAAATGATCTTTTTGGTGTTTCAATAAGTGTACTATTTCTTCTAGGTCAAAAGTAAAAACAAGGAAAGTAATAGAAACATTAAGCAGAGACCACTAAGGAAGTTACTGTAGAAGTCTAAGAAAGATGGTGATGAAAATTCCAAATAGATTTTGACTAGATGAAGAGGAAAGTTGGTTTCAGGGTACATTTTGCAGGTAAACTCTGATGTGGATGAAGGGATTGGGGAATACAGGTAAAAGACAAAAGGAGAAATCAACATTATTTCCCAGGTTTTGCTTAAGCAACTGGATGGATAGTGCCCTGTTAATGAGATGGAATAGGTTTCAGAGGAAGAAACTCCCAAAACTTCATTTTAGCATGTCAGATTTGTGAAGTCTATTAGGCATTCCCAGGTAGATAGCTACAGATAGACTCTATTGATTAGGGTAGAATTCCAGAAGACATGACTCTGGTTGTCAACACCAGGTTGATGTACTTAAAGCCACGGTACTTGGTGAGATCTCTTAGATAGTAGTATACATAAAGAAGAGAAAAGGATCAGAATCTAGACGCATTCCTCATAAGCAAACTAGAATTGCCAAACGTTACATAAAACCCATAACATAAAGTATGCATATTTATTTTACAAAGGTATTAATTTGATGGGCCTTTAAGATAAAGACTTGATAGAGAATTAAATATTACTTTCTAAAAACCCAGTTTATATATAATGTTTAATAAGTACATCTAGATTAAAGAGAAGTTCAATTTTATTTATTGCTTAACGTGGAGTGATAAGTAGTTCATTCAGAATTCTCCCATTTAATTTTTTGTTCTCTTCAATGCATAATCATCATTTTGTATTTCTCCTTTCTCCCTCATATGAGAGTATTATATTCAGGATTTTAAGTGGAGGAAACAGACAAGTTCATGTACATTTGATTTCAGGCAATGTATAAATGAGCAAATGATATGAAATAGAGTCAGAGTTTTAAGGGATTTTATCTTTTGTTTTAATAAAACATTGGTACGTCAGGATTCTCTAGATGTAAGATCATATCATTGGCAAACAGAGATAGTTTAACTTCCCTTTTTCTATTTAGATGTGCTTTATTTCTCTCTCTCTTACTTCATTGCTCTGTCTAGGACTCCCAGTACTACGCTGAATAGGAATGGTGTAAGTGAGCATCCTTGTTCTAGTTCCTAGGGAGGACTGCTTTCAACTTTCCTCCATTCAGTATGATGTTGGTGGTAGGTTTGTCAAATACGGCTCTTATTATTTTGAAGTATGTTCCTTCTATGCCTAGTTTCCTGATGGTTTTTAATCATGAAGGGTTACTGGATGCTTTTCTTGCATATTGAAATAATTATATGTTTTTGTTTTAAATTATTTGTGTGGTGAATCACAATTATTGATTTGCTTATGTCGAACCATCCTTGCATCCCTGGGATGAAACCCATTTGATCATGGTGAATTATCTTTTGATGTGCTGTTGGATTTGATTTGCTGCTATTTTGTGGAGGATGTTTTCATGTATATTTATCAGGAATACTATATAGATCTGTGGTTTTGTTTGTGTGTATGTGTCCTTTGTGGGCTTTGGTATCAGAGTGATCCTGGCTTTGTAGAATGAATTAGTGAGCTATCGAGATGTAAAAGTAAGCAGCGATATTAAGAAAAATATTTTTTATTAAAGACTTTTTCTGCACATGTAAAAATATTAATGTCTTTAAAAACATTCCAAAGTTTTTATAGACAGAAAATAAAGCAAGGGAAGTGTTTGTATCACTTTGAAGATAAGTCTGATATTCAGCAAAGGATATGTTCTACTAATCCAAAAATTTAAATTGACTTTGACCTGAATAGCGCCAACCAGTTACATTAAATATAGGGATGGAGAAAACATTACATGATTATTGTACTCTAAGTGCTATTTTGATATTCTCACTATTAACATAAACCTGAAAATTGAATTTAGAATTATAACTGGATAAGAGCAACTTCACCATCACCCCTAATCCATGAAAGTCTAAAAACCTAAACAAGCAAAAAAAATTTTAAAAAACAATGATAATGGTAAGATGACATACTTGACCAGAATAAATCAAGTTGTCTCAGTTACTCCATTGTGTTACATTCAGCTTTTTTGAATCTAGCGCATAAATTGGGGTTGATTTATGCTTAATACAACCACATGATCATTCACACATTCTCCCTCTCTTGAGTTTATAGATTTAAGCATATAGCTTCACGGTTTTTATCTCCGTGAAAAATCCATCCAAAATGATATATCAGACTTACTATTTCAAAACCGTAGCAAACAAGCAAACAAAAAACAACTCTCATGGTGATACAGAAAATTTAAAACAAACTATTTGTTATCAGAAAGATACCTACAAGAGCATTGAAGTGTTTCTTTCTAGATTCCATCTTGATGCAAAATGCATCATGTAGCCTCGGGCACACCACATTTAAAATAGAGCAACCACTGATACGGTGATGAGCTGTGATATATGCTGTTTGGGAAGCAAAGGAAAGACCGTATCTTTACTGGGAAAATATAGCAACCGAAAGTAGATCCTTTTATTTCCACTCTATGGGTAAAAATAGTGAAAATGGAAAGTTGAGTAATGCTGTTAGCTTATGGTAGGTTTAGCTGCCAGACAACTATTCTGTATTATGAAAAGACAACCCACTCCTAATTCAGATAAGACCAGTGTTTGGCATCTGTCAAAGAAACGAGTAAACGTACAAGTTCTGAGACTTCTATGTCTCTCCCAAAATTCACCAATAGGCCCACTCCTAGATTATATATGGAATTTTGAAAAACCTATAAATACTCTATTCTATTACTTATGTTAACGTGAGTGCATGAGCATATTTTTCAACTGAAAAGCTACCTGGGCATGATGAAGTTGAAGCATGAATAAGGAACTCCAACAAGAAGCCAAGTTACGGCAAAATGGGATAGTAAGGTAAACACAGTCTGTTCCTACTAAATTTTCTCTGAATTCACCATGCATCTGTGCTTAAAACCTGAATTTATACTGAGTGTTCAGGGTCCTGCCTTCATGACTAGGCCAGATGTTAAGCTCTTTATGACTTTATGGTCTAGTATGTATTTATTTAAAGTAGGACTATGTAATATTTCAGTTTGCCTGGGGTACTCTGGTTTATGGCTATTGTTCAGGATTAATCATCAGTAGCATCCCTTTCATCCTCAAAAGTCCTCCTATGGACAAAAAACGTTATGGTCACCCATTTACAGGGAAGAAAATAGTATGAATTTTCTGCAGAATACAGAAACATCAAATATTAATGTCAGAGGCATTTAAACTAGAGCAACTTCATCTTGAATAGGAGCTGGGTAAAATAAGCCTGAAGCCAACTGGGCTGCATTCCCAGTTAAGTCAGGTATTCTAAGTCACAGAATGAATAGGAGGTCGGCACAAGATACGAGTCATAAAGACCTTGCTGATATAACAGTTTACGGTAAAAAAGCCGGCCATAACCCACCAAAACCAAAATGGCGGTAAGAGTGACCTCTGGTCAGCCTCACTGCTACACTCCCACAAGTGCCGTGACAGCTTACATATGCCATGGCAATGTCAGGAATTTACCCTATATGGTCTAAAAAGGGGAGGCATAAATAATCCACCCCTTGTTTAGCATATAATCAAGAACAAATGCCATGGCAATGTCAGGAATTTACCCTATATGGTCTAAAAAGGGGAGGCATAAATAATCCACCCCTTGTTTAGCATATAATCAAGAACTAACCATAAAAATGGGCAATCAGCAGCCCTGGGAAGTAAAGGAATAAATAACCATTCTTTATCCTTTACTTTCCTGATAAACTTGCTTTCACTTTACAAAAGGGACTTGCCCTGAATTCCTTTTTGTGTGAGATCCAAGAACCTTCTCTTGGGGTCTGAATGGGGACCCCTTTCTGGGAACATTAAGGCAAACCTTGAGACCAGTTCCTATTATTGTCTTAGGATAAGTGATGTAGAAATTAAACTTTCCTGAAGAGTAGAATTAGCCTTCATTGTTTTCCCCAATAACTCAGTATACTCGTGGAAAATAACATGGTTTAGGACGACTTTAATCAGGAATAAAATTTTACAATCCTGGAGCCTGGGGCTAAAGGGTACAGTTGGAAGGATGAGGGCAGCACCAACATCAGGTAGAATATTCTGAAATCAAGGAGAAGGAAGTGATATTTTAAGGACCAGATTATAATATCACTTCCTCTGACTTGAGTGTCCAGTTTTTGGTGATTCTTAGAATGGTCTCAGGCATTGCATAGTGGAAGCCAGGAAGTAAAGTAGAGCATGAAGACATGAAATGTAAGCTGAAAGCTCATTAGAAGGAAGTTCTGGGAAACAGGATCCCATTAGAATGGCCCACCCAGCATCATTATCTAAAAATATTTAGCATAGAAATGTATTATCTACGGCTGGCACAAGTCAGAATTGAGGCATTAAAAATGGTAGGAATGGCGGCAGAGAGTATTGTATAAGTGTGTCCTACCCAGGCCAACAATGTGCTATGCTAATTTTAAGAGGTAGCATTGACATTTAAAATATATTTGATTCCATACTTTGGTGATTACAAAAATAGTTTCTTATTACAATTGCTTTGGAAAAAAATTCATCCTTTGTATCTTCATTAAGAGAGAAAAAATTGACCACATCTTCAAAAGTAGCTGTTTTTGTCCATGTTAAGTCTTGGCTCATGTTGGTTTGCCAAGGAGTACTGGGTAGCACCTGACTCTAATCCCAAACAAACAAATAGGCATCCAGGTTAGGAGAGCAGTGATGTGTACAGTGAGGGCCCGAGAAAGGTACACAAGATTCAATTACATTTAAAACTTATTACACAAAATCTTGACACCTCTAAAGCAAGCAAGTAAACAAACAAGCACACAAAATGAACTTTTCTATTTATGACAAGACCTAAATGTCATCACTAAAACAGGTAAAGAGACTAATTGAACTGAACCAGTTTGGGAAATTCGAAGTGGTCATTGAACAAATACAAACAGAGGACTTTGGTTATGAAAGACATGGTCATCTTTAGGTCTTTCTTAATCCAATTTATATTCACAAAACATCGTGCTTATAGCATAAGCATCCTAAGTGAAAAGTTATACATAAATTGGGAATGCGTTTTGTGGTATTTTGTTGTGATGTTTTAAATTTTATATTAT